>NC_000006.12:13696363-13847878 GCF_000001405.40 Homo sapiens | reverse complement strand
AACCCATTTCTTTGAGAATTTGGAGGCTAGGGTTTATTAAGGGTACTTTGGAAGGCACAGGGCTGGGGAACTGCAACAATTGATTGGCTGGGGATGAAATCATAGGGGTGTCTAAAACTGTCTTCATGTCACTGAGTCAGTTTCCAGGAGGGGTGGGTGGGAGGAGTGTCTCAGGACCAGGCAGCATCTCTTGGTCTACCGAAAATATCTCAAAACGAGTTTTTTAGGTTTCACAATGGTGCTGTTATCTAGGAGTCATTGGGGAAGTTATAAAACTCGGGAACCCCAGTTACATGACTCTGGGGCAGTCAGCAGCTTATAGGAAAACAAGCTAAGCAATGGCAGGTCATTGTTTAACTCTGCCTATTCATTAGCAAAGTCCGTAAGTCTAACCTTGTCTTACGAATGCAGCTTCAATCTCCGGACAAAGAGTGGGGTTAATTTCCCTGACCTCCAAGTTTAACTATAAACCGAATTCTTCTCATTGCTTATGAGTTATCCATAGCCGTGAGTTATGGCCTCTGTGCTAGAATAAGCAAAAAAGCAATTTTGCCTGTGAGATTAGAAGCAAGATGGAGTCAGCCATGTCAGATTTCTCTCATTATTTGTAATTCTGCAAATGCGGTTTCACAGGGTCTTGCTGACCCTGGAGAGACTGCCCCTCCCAGGATTAGCCAATTCCTAGCGACAGTAAAGGATTCTCCCTCGAGTGTGCCTTTCATATGCAAACACGTTCATCCAGAGCCCGCTCGTTCCAC
The DNA here is from genome assembly GCF_000001405.40 of Homo sapiens. Lineage (NCBI taxonomy): Eukaryota > Metazoa > Chordata > Mammalia > Primates > Hominidae > Homo > Homo sapiens. The sequence continues at coordinate 13,847,120 of NC_000006.12, read as the reverse complement.
CACCTCCTCTACCTCCTCCATACTTGGGACAATACAGGGCCAGGAACCAGACACTTCACGACAGTCCCTCCACCCCAGAGTCCACTGAAATTGTTCAAACCAGCCAATCCCTGCCCGTGTTTTTGCCTCACTCCTGCTGCCTCCTGACTGACGCTGGTGCTCCCCCTGTGGCCCTCCTTGGGTGTCGCACCCCCTCCCCTAGGGATCGGAAAGTTTAACAATCTTTTTCAGTGGCGGTCCTCTCCTCATCTGTTGGCCTCGCCGTACCTGAATAATAGTAAAACCCATATTTTAAAAACAAAAGTATTTTTTGTTGTTGTTTTGAGACAGTGTCTCGCTCTGTCGCCCAGGATGCAGTGCAGTGGTGCGCTCTTGGCTCACTGCAGTCTCAACCTCCTAGGCTCAAGGGATTCTCCCACCTCAGCCTCCAGAGTAGCCAGAACTACAGGCGTGTGCCACCATGTCGGGCTAATTTTTGCATTTTTCGTAGAGGTTTTTTGTAGGGGTTTTACCACATTGCCCAGGCTGGTCTCGAACTCCTGGCTAAAGTGATCCGCCATCCTTGCCCTCTGAAAGTAAAAGCCTATTTTATAATCCAAACACTGGCCGGGCGAGGTGGCTCACGCCTGTAATCCCACCACTTTGGGAGGCAGAGGCAGGTGGATCACGAGGTCAGGAGATAGAGACCATCCTGGCTAACATGGTGAAACCCCGTCTCTACTAAAAATACAAAAAAAATTAGCTGGGCGTGGTGGTGGGCGCCTGTAGTCACAGCTACTTGGGAGGATGAGGGCGCCTGTAGTCCCAGCTACTCGGGTGGCTGAGGCAGGAGAATGGCGTGAACCCAGGAAGTGGAGCTTGCAGTGAGCTGAGATCGTGCCACTGCACTCCAGCCTGGACAACTAAGCAAGACTCTGTCTCAAAAAAAAAAAAAAAAATCCAAACACTTGCTGGGCAAGGTGGCTCACATCTGTAATCCCAGCACTTAGGGAGGCCAAGGCAAGCAGATCACTTGAGGTCAGGAGTTCGAGACCAGCCTGGCCAACAAGGTGAAACCCCATCTCTACTAAAAGTACAAAAATTAGCTGGGTGTGGTGGTGGGCACCTGTGGTCCCAGCTACTTGGGAGGCTGAGGCAGGACAATCCCTTGAGCCTGGGAAGTGAAGACTGCAGTAAGCCAAAGATCACACCACTGCACTCCAGCCTGGGTGACACAGTGAGGCCCTGCCTCAAATTTAAAAAAAAAAAAAAAAATCCAAAAACTAAGCCAGGCATGATGGTTAATGCCTATTGTTCCAACTAGTGGGGAGGCTGAGACAGGAGGACCACTTGAGCCCAGGAGGTCAAATCCAGCCTGGGCAACATAACAAGGCCCCCAATCTCTGAAAAATAAGTAAGTAAATAAAACAAGGAGAAATTTTTATTCTAAAAAAACCTGAAAAACTAAGATTGACTCTTATTTTTATTCATATTGCTACTGTAACAACTCTTCCCTAAGGGAGTGCATTTGGAATGCCCTCTAGCCTGAGCTGGGTAAAGCAAGTTTGGTAGAAAAAATCTCATATTGCAAAAATTAGCCGGGCATGGTGGCGAGCACTTGTAATCCCAGCTACTCGGCAGGCTGATTGAGGCAGGAGAATCACTTGAACCCGGGAGGCAGAGGTTGCAGTGAGCCGAGATCAAGCCATTGCACTCCAGCTTGGGCAACCACAGCGAAACTCCGTCTCAAAAAAAAAAAAAAAAAAAAAAAAAAAAAGAAAAGTAAAGAAAAATCTCATATTCGTAATTTATCTCATGATGATAATGATGATCATTAACCTTCATAAGCACAGAATAAGCACTTAGTAAATGTTGTTGATTAGCCAATGGCAGGAGGAGAATGTCACTGAAAACATCGTTGTACTCTCTGATCCCAGTAAGATGGGGCGCATCACCAAAGCAGGGCCGCATTTTGGAGCCACATTTTATCCATCTATTAATGGATAAAAATAAACGTGCTTTTATTTTCACCTCCCCTCTCCCACCGCTGGTCAGGTGCCCCTGAGGTTTTTTTTTTTTTTTTTTTTTTTTTTTTTTTGAGGCGGAGTCTCGCTCTGTCCTCCAGGCTGGAGTGCAGTCGCCCAATCTCAGCTCACTGCAAGCTCCGCCTCCCAGGTTCGCGCCATTCTCCTGCCTCAGCCTCCCAAGTAGCTGGGACTACAGGCGCCTGCCGCCACGCCTGGCTAATTTTTTTGCATTTTTTTTAGTAGAGACAGGGTTTCACCGTGTTAGCCAGGATGGTCTCGATCTCCTGACCTCGTGATCCACCCGCCTTGGCCTCTCAAAGTGCTGGGATTACAGACGTGAGCCACCGCGCCGGGCCGCCCCTGAGTATTTTTATCAAATTGAAGTTTATTCTGATCTGCTTATTGCTGCGGCATTTGTAGGATTCTTCTCCCACCCTGTATAAATGTCTTCACTGATTTCATAGAGGGGAAAATACTTATAATATACTTTGGTGAATATATACTTGTTGGATTTGTATCATGCCATTTCTTCCAAACAAGAAATTCAAAAAAAAAAAAAAAAAAAAAAGAATACTTAAGTTCCAAATAGCTGTCCAGATATATTTATACAAGATAATTGGTTTTGGTAGAGTAATTTCTTTTTAACATCAAACCTGGCTGAAGAAAACCATCTAGGCACGTTCATTTAGAGATAGGAGCTTGTATAGAAGAATAAAGGCCTATGTTTACAGATACAAATATTAAGTTATATAAGCCAAAATGTAAAAGGTACACCAGTGTGATTCAACAATACTTGCCTGTTTCCTGGAAGTGCAAAGGAAAAAGAAGTAACTTCATCACATACAAGGCTCAGGATTTAAGGGCTGTATCTGTTTTCTAGCACTGCTATAGTAGAGTACCACAAACTGGGTGGCTTAAAACCATGGAAATTGATTCTCTCATAGTTCTGGAGGCTAGGAGGCTGAAATCATGGTGTCAACAGTGTTGGTTCCTTCTGGAGGCTCTGAGGGAGAATCTGTTCCATGCCTCTCTCTCTCAGCTTCTGGCATTTGCCAGCGATCCTTCACATTCCTTGGCTTGTAGATGCGTCAAACCAGTCTCTGGCTCCCCCTTCAAATGGCCTTCTCCCTCTGATGCAGGGTAGGCGAGCCCCAAAGCGGAGCTTAGCCCGCGAGGGTTCTTGGCTTCACCCAGGAAATAATTCAAGGGCAAGCCAGAGGTAGAAGAAAACAGCTTTATGGAAGAGTCAGTGTGTCAGCTTCATGACTGTTCCTGCAGAGGAGGGCTACTCCGCAGGCAGAGAATAGCAGTTCAGGGCAGTTTTGCAGTCGTAATTATATCCACTTTTAATTGCATGCAGATTAGGGGGTAATTTATGCAGAAATTTCTAGGGAAGGAGTAATCATTGGGTCATTGCCATGGAAAGAGGTGGTAACTCCCAGGTGGTCGTGACTGATTGAAAGCGCTTTTGCCCTGGCCCTGTTTTAGTTAGTCCTCAGGCTGGCCTGGTGACTGAGCCCCACCTTTGGAGTCAAGTCCCACCTTTTACCGCACCTCGATGACTCTTCACATTGCCTCCTCTCTGTGTCTGCCTGCATCTGTCTTTTCTTAAAAAGAAACCAATCATTGGATTATGGCCCATCCTAATCCAGTTTAACCTTTTTTTTTTTTTGAGATGTAGTCTCAGTCTGTCACCCAGGCAGGCTGGAGTGCAGCGGTGCGATCTCGTCTACTCCAACCTCTGCCTCATGGGTTCAAGGGGTTCTCTTGCCTCAGCCTCCGGAGTAGTTGGGATTACAGGCACCCACCACCACGCCCAGCTAATTTTTGTATTTTTAGTACAGACAGGGTTTCTCCATGTTGGCCAGGCTGGTCTCGAACTCCTGACCTCAGGTGATCCACCCGCTTTGGCATCCCAAAGTGCTGGGATTACAGGTATGAGCCACCGCACCTACCCAGTTTAACCTCATTTTAACTCATTATATCTGTAAAGATTCTATTTTCAAATAAGGTCACATTCAGAGGTTCCAAGAGGACATGAACTTAGGGGAGGTACTATTCTAACCCAGTACACGGGGGAACTATAGGTGAATGAAAATAGGCAGGATCATATTTCATAACATACAAATATGAACCAGGCCTATGCCAGGGATGGCTGCACCATGTATGATGCGGTACTTAGCCTAAAATATTGTCCCACAATCTGGGTCGTTTATCTACATGATCAAAAATGAAGTCAAATTTGGGCTCAAACCCATACCATATAGTTGCCCACAGTTCATTGGCTAAGAACCTGCTCCTCCCATCCTGTTTAGTCAGTCAGTTCTTCAGAAAAGGTAGCCAATACCATTTGTGTTATACGCACTGTACTACGTACTAAAGATAGTGATGAACAGAACATAGCCCCTGAACTCATGGAGCTTGCATTCTATAGGATAGATAGGTTTTAAGTCATTGCATATGTGGCAGACATTACATTGCTGTTGAGGAGTTTTTATTGCCCTGTGCGTGAGAAGTCCCCAAGATCACCCTCGGTTTCAGTAATTCACTAGGAGAACTCACAGGACTCAGCATATAAATATAAACATACTCATGGCTATGATTTATTAGGGCAAAAGGATGCCAAGCGCCATCAGCAAAGGGAGGTGCATGGGGTGAGACATGGGGGGAACCAGGCAGAAGCTTCCAGATCATCTCCTATTAGAATCGCATAGAATATGTTCATTCCCTCAGCAATGAGTTGTGACCACAGGTGTGAAATAGTGCCCACCAGGGAAGCTCATTAGAGACTCAATGCTCATAGTTTTTTGCGAGGGGTACTGGTCATGTAGACAGCCTCTGCGGGACATGTACTGAAATTCCAGACTCCCAGAAGCAAAGCAGATATTTGTCATAAACCATATTGTATCTACAAACAGCTTAGGCACATTAAGCCACTCCTATCAGTTAACAGTGGGAACCCTCCTAAAGTCTGAGTTCTCAGATACCAGCCAAGGGCCAGCCTGGCAAGCAGACCTTTTCAAGGATAGCAGTTTGGGGCTGTTTTGTTAACTCTTTCCTGCACACCCACAGACTCAGCAGGTTATATACAGGGTCGGATAACTCCTCAAAGACCAGGATGCTACCTACAATCAATGGTGCTCTAGATGACATTCTCCTGGAGCCGCGTCTATTCCACTTCAGTCACCTTTATCCCCAGAAGATACTTTTATTCTCACCCAGAGAGAGCAGCAGTTTTTAACATAACAATATTGGGTAGATAAGCAAGGAATTGATTCCTTGGTCTGATCCCAGCCCAGTATTAGAGGAGCTGATGAGTCAAGTCGAGAAAAGAAGTGGGACTGTGGGTGGAGGGCGTATGCCCTGGCAAGCCAGCTGTGCTGGGTTTCTCCTGGCCTGGTAATTATTGCACTTATCTCAGACAGGGCATCTTGAGGCGGGTGAGATGCAGTTGTGTGATGACTCGTCATTTTCACAATATGTAATCTTTGAAACACTATAGCAAAATGGCACTAATAGCATCATAAGAAATAGTACTTGGGACCTAAATATTAGATCCAAATGATGTGGTTGCAATTCTAAAAGGTAACTGTGCCAGCCTTTGAGGGTGACTTGCTTGGGGTGATAGAGGGGATTGCTAAATCCCCACCAGAGCTTCCCAGGACTCGAAAACCTGTCTCTGGTTTGGCAGGATTTCATGACTCAGCCTCGCACATATCCCATGAGAACACTGGGGACTGGGGAAGCCACGCTCATGAAATATATTCCAGCCTGATGTCATCTGAGCTCTCTGCTAAAAAATATTTTGGGCCAGGCAAGGTGGCTCACCCCTGTAATCCCAGCACTTTGGGAGGCCAAGACGGGAGAATCACAAGGTCAGGAGATTGAGACCATCCTGGCTAACACGGTGAAACCCCGTCTCTACTAAAAATACAAAAAATTAGCCGGGCGTGGTGGCGGGCGCCTGTAGTCCCAGCTACTCGGGAGGCTGAGGCAGGAGAATGGTGTGAACCCGGGAGGCGGAGCTTGCAGTGAGCGGAGATCGTGCCGCTGCACTCCAGCCTGGGCGACAGAGCAAGACTCCGTCTCAAAAAAAAAAAAAAATGTATTTTGAACTTGTCACATTAACTTGAACATTTATAAAATGCGTTGTTGGACATTCATTTTCTGCAGGCCCCAAACCCCAAAGTGGGTAACAGCTGGGAAGTCGGGATCTGGGCAGGCTCCTGCTTAGAACTGGCTGAATCTAAAGTGAAGCAATAGGCAGGCGCCTTGGCAGCCGCCTTGAAATGGAACAGATCAGCCCTTGGAGGCAACAGTGAGATTTCTGGACCCGGCTTCAGTCAAATTATCAAGATTAAAAGAAATAGTTTGCAGTATTGTTCACTAAGGAAGTGCGTGTGTGTGTGTGTGTGTGTGTGTGTGTGTGTGTGTTTCTTTTTCTGGCAATATAAAAGTCTGTCTCACACATGCAAACATACACAAATATTTCCAAGTAGAATAGGCCTTCCTTTAGGTAAAATGATCTTTCAGTTTTCACAGATCAGTAAAACATTTTTTAAAAGTTAAATAAAGGGACTCACTATACACTAAAACAATGATTTTCTTTAAAAAAAAATTATGTCAGCTGAGAGCAGTGGCTGATACCTGTAATCTCAGCACCTTTGGAGGCCAAGGCAGGAGGATTGCTTGAGCTCAGGAGTTCGAGAACAGCCTGGGCAAAATGGCAAAACCCTGTCTCTACAAAAAAAATACAAAAATTAGCTGGGCACGATGGCGCATGCCTGCAGTCCCAGCTACTTAGGAGGCTGGGGTGGGAGGACGGCTTGAGCGCCGGAAGCAGAGGTTGCAGTGAGCCAAGATCATGCCACTGCACTCCAGCCTGGATGACAGAGCAAGACACTGACTTAAAAAAAAAGAAAAAAAATTATGTCAAGAGTAACAAGCTGGGAAGGCCAAAATGTCAGTATGATAAGCAATTAATAAATTGTTTTTATCATAAGAAACTTACTATATCATGCTTATTTTTCATAAGTATAAGGGTATAAACCTTTAATACCCTTTCATAAGTATAAGGGTATGAACATTTGAGGGTGGGAGAGTGTTTGGCGCTAAATCCCAAATTTGCATTCACAATTGTACCTCCCAAAAGGCCCAGTTATCACCAACAATGAGTTACCATGAGTTAGGCCCATCATCCACAGCAGCCATGAGGGTTACGGCCTAGTCAGCTCTAGGGATGCTAGGGGGGTTTATATCTGCTCTAAGAAAAGATGGTACCTAGAGGTTTCCAGGGGCCCTGGAATAACTGGAAAAAAAAAAAAAAACATAAAAAACACCTCATGGAATGAGTAGAAGGCTCCTTGTGCTCACTTAAAAAGAAAGACGTTTTTATATAAGCCAAATCCATGAGTTCCCATTTACCAGCAATAAGGAAATAAATAAGTTCATACAACTTATTAAAATCTTTTTCTAATTTTAGAAAATTCTAGGGTTTTATACACAACAAAGTATAATGGAAAAAGACTTGAAGTCAGGAAACTTGGGTTAGAATCCTGGTTCCCTCACTTCCAAGTTCCCTGGCCTTTTTAAATCATTTAAACTTTCTGAGTCTCAGTTTGCTCATCTGTCTAATAGTGGGGAGTTGATGCGCAAAGAGTTGAGGAGGAGTGTAATAAAAGTACCTGGCATAATGCCTGGCAATGAAATTTCAGTTAAAACTTGTGATTGTTTTTTTAAAATGTGGAACTGGAAAGACAAGTAACACCTGCGCTTAGCAAAAAGAATTGCTACCTTCTCCCTCTTGTCCAAGACCAAGATAAATGTCTGGGTCCAGACAGTGTATTTCTGGAAAGCCAGACCATGTGAAAAAGTTATGACTTGGGCATTTAGCATGTTTTTCAGCCAGCCGGTACCTTTGAAACATCCTTTCTATGTTTGGGGAGTTAACTCAGAAAATGCTACCCAAAAGGCTTCTTCGCAGGCACCTTGTAACCTAAGCTCCACCAATCAGACGTCTAAATCAGAATCTGATTCAGCAGTAGACCAGGGTAGGCAGGAGGATCCACGTAGAATCTCCTTGCTGGTGGTAAAGGTATCCAGCCTTCAGAAGCAGCAGTGTCTGCAAACTTGGATTCCTAAGGTGCAGAAATGGCTGCAGTGGCTGGAGTTTGTGGAAATTTCAGTTGTGCTGACTTGCTGGCAGCAGTGCAAACTATAGCAACTAATGCTCCATGACGATAGTGACAGTGGAAGGACAGCTTTCTCATCAAATCAGGTCTGCCACATGGTTTGGGACACTGTTCCTGGAAACTGAACTTCAGACCAAGTTCCTAATAATTCCATGATGCAATGGTATTTTAATTAACTCTATTTCTGCCTAATCAGCCAGAGTCAGCTTCTCTTTTGTGCAAGAACTTAGGCAAATGCAAATACAATGACCTTTCTAAAATGCAAACTAATCGTCTCTTGTCTTTGCCTAAAACATCGCCATGATAAAGTCTAAACTCCTTATCTTGGCATATAGGCACTGCTGCATCTCTGGCCTCACCTTTCACCAGTAGGCCTCCCACTCCACCATAAGCTGCAGTCACACCAAACTACTTGCCATTACCCAGCATTTCATATTCTTCCTTACCTCAGATCCTTTGCATATGCTATTTCTGGAAGCCAACAAAGATTTCTGAACATTGAAAGTAACGTTAACCTAAATAACAAACAGAGTGAGGCTCTAAAAGGAAATGATGTTTATCTGGGAATAGAGCATTGCAATGGGAATATGCATGCCATCGTAAACCATGTGCATATTGAGGGAGGCAAAGGAAGACATAGGTGTTTGCTTGTTGTTTGTTTTGAAACAGTCTCACTCTGCTGCCCAGGCTGGAGTGCAGAGATGCAGTCTCAGCTCACTGCAACCTCCGCCTCCAGGGTTCAAGGGATTCTCCTGACTCAGCCTCCCGAGTAGCTGGTATTACAGGCGCCTGCCATCACGTCCGGCTAATTTTTGTATTTTTATTAGAGACGGGGTTTTGCCATGTTGGCTAGGTTTGTCTCAAACTCCTGACCTCAGGTGATCCGCCCACCTGGGCCTCCCAAAGTGCTGAGATTATAGGTGTGAGTCAGTGTGCCCAGCTGACAAAGGTTTTTAAAGAAAATGATAAGGAAGGCCAGGTGTGGTGGCTCACACCTGTAATTGCAGCACTTTGGGAGGCTGAGGTGGGTGGATCATGAGGTCAGGAGATCGAGACTATCCTGGCTAACACGGTGAAACCCCGTCTCTACTTTTATACAAAAAAATACAAAAAAATTAGCTGGGCGTGGTGGTGGGAGCCTGTAGTCCCAGCTACTTGGGAGGCTGAGACAGGAGAATGGCGTGAACTCAGGAGGTGGAGCTTGCAGTGAGCCGAGATCGTGCCACTGCACTCCAGCCTGGGTGACAGAGTGAGACTCTGTCTCAAAAAAAAAAAAAAAGAAAAATAATAAGGAAGATTATGTAATTGTTTTGAAATATTATCTTTGGCTACAATGATCAATTGCAAGGGTAATGCCAGTCTGAGGTTGGACAGGTAGTTGCTGGGCAGATGTCCTTGGAGAAGTATTTTTTGTATGAGGTTGCAAAGTCCTTTGTCCAAGGTTGTGGTTTTTGTAGTCTTTTTCCTTATCAGTTGAACAAGCGTGAGAATCTTTTTTTTTCTTTTTTCTTTTTTTCTTTTTGAGTCAGGTCTTGCTCTCTCACCCTGGCTGGAGTGCAGTGGTGTGATCTTGGCTTACTGCAATCTCCGCCTCCCAGGTTCAAGTGATTCTCATGCCTCAGCCTCCCAAGTAGCTGGGATTACAGGCATGTGCCACCACGCCCGGCTAATTTATGAATCTTCTCTTCATGACCTTCTCTGGCTCTATTTGTCAAAGTTTTCTTAACATTAGTGACTCCATTTTGATTCTGACAACTTTCACACTTCATTTCCCAGATGCTCTTGCACTAGGTTTGGCCATATAACTATGTTCTAGCCAATGGAGGATGTAAGGGGAAGCGATGTGTTCAACATCCAGGTCATGTTCTTAAAGGGAAAAGGCATATCTTCCCTTTCTTTTTCTGACTGAGTAGAATGCCAGAATGTTGGTGACCCATGTTGACAGATAATGACAACTGTCTAAGATTGGTGAGTCAGTGGGTTTGCCAACACTGTGGAGCCACCATATCAACCTTGTATGGTTACATGAGAAAGAAAAGATCTCAATCTTATCTGTAGAGCTTGTGGTTTTAGATATTGAACCTACATCCTAAATAGTACAGCAATTTAGTTAGTTAAGCAGAAATTTAATTTAGTAAAGACACTTACGTAAGTCACAGAATTTGCAGGAGAATCAATCAGGCTTGGAGAGTACAGAACCAGGAAAAATGCCCAATGTACTACCATATGACAGCACTACACCAGCAAAGGCCCTGGGGATCATACCTGGTGCTGTGCATTAGATGCCAAAACTGCTCTTACTGCCTCCCCTGAAACTCGATGCCTCCACCATCATCATTACCAGGAAAATGGTGCTTGCCTTCACATTGTTTCCCAAAGCCTCACTCTGGCACGTGTCTATATTTGCAGGGCAGAGGTTAGGTCACATATCCAATTGCAAGGGATACTAGGAAAGTGTGTTTCTGGCTTCTCTCTTGGAAAGACAAGTAGGGCTACTGTGCAGCCATGCAGGCTATGTACTGTGTAGCTCTGAAGGGCCACCATTCACATCCTAGTTATGAGCATGGCTCCCCCTGGAGCTGTACAGTGGTGTATTAGTCAAGGTAGGCTAATATGTATACAAATAACCTCCAAATCTCGGTGGTCTCATATATGAGGGGTGTGTTTCTCACTCATGTCATGGACCAATCATGCACTGTTCAGTAGGCAGCTTTCCGCATGGTGATGCAAGAAGCCTCGCTCCTTCCGTCTAGTAGGTTTCACACTCATGCATGCAGAGCAAACATTCACTGTCATCCCATACCATTGATTGGAGAAACCTGGGGCAGAACATAAAAGGTATATACAGTTGGTGCTTGAGGTAAGATGCTGTCAGCAAGAAATGAGTCAAAGCCCACACAGAACAATTTGCTCCAGCCCTGACTACAATCAGAGTCAAGCCTGAAAGGATATGAGGGGGGTACACAAAAGCCATCTGATACACAAATCGCTACATCATTCTTACCTTCAAAGGACCACAATTAAGTCTAGCTCTAAATCCATGAGTCCCTTGAATTTTGTCAAACACCTGATACCTCCAGGGCTGGGATATACAGGGAAAATGACAAAAGTGACCTGAAAATATTCCTATCAATCTTAAACCAATCACAAGCCTTCATCCAATTTCCCTTAGGTATTGAATGTTGCTAAGTCACTTAACTCAGCCATCCTGCACTAGGAGTTCCCCCATGCATTTCTCCCTCGAAGTGCTCTCTGTGGGTAGGAGCTATTCACACATATTCATTCTCTTATTCTTTTTCTTTCTTTCTTTCTTCTTCTTCTTTTTTTTTTTTTTTTTACTTTAAGTTCTGGGATACATGTGCAGAATGTGCAGGTTTGTTACATAGGTATACAAGTGCCATGGTGGTTTCCTGCACCCATCAACCCATCATCTAGGTTTTAAGCCCTGAATGCATTAGGTGTTTGTCCTAATGCTCTCCCTCCCCTTGCCCCCAACCCCCAACAGGCCGGGGTGTTTGATGTTCCCCTCCCTGTGTCCATGTGTTCTCAATGTTCAACTCCCACTTATGAGTGAGAACATGCTGTGTTTGGTTTTCTGTTCCTGTGTTAGTTTGCTGAGAATGATGGTTTCCAGATTCATCCATGTCTCTGCAAAGGACATGAACTCATTCTTTTTTATGGCTGCAACACAAACATTTTTGAACAAAATAATCAAATTAGTCAACGGCATTTTTTAAAGTAAAGAATGTTAAGTTTTTATTACTCTGTTGTTGTATAAGGAGGTGAATAATTTTTTTCACCAGGAAATTCTCATGCAAGAAGGATACTCTTTACCAAGGAGTTTAGTGGAGATTAGGGTTTGACCAGGAGGAAGGAAGTTCTAGAAAAGGAGATAAGAAAGAAAGAGAGGCACCTTGGAAGGGAATGGTGTCTGGGAGAGTTTCAGGAGGGAAGTGAGAGTGAGAAGAGGCTCAGAGGTGCGGTGGCCACTGAGGAATTTGAAAGAAGTAGGAAGAAGGGGCAATGGAGCCTCCTCATTGGTCTTGGAACCTCCTCATTGGTCTTGGAACTATAAAAATAACATTTGGAACTATTTTCAGTGACTTTTGTGGTGTTCTTTTTTTCTTTGAATCCTAGAACTGGATTATGTGAATCCTAAGATATATTACATTTATAGGAATCAGCAGTGGTATGATTATTGCAAATTTTGTTTCTTAATTAATTGATTCTGTTGTAACCAAAAAGTTCTATTTTGGTTATATTTTTGCACATGTATCACTCAATGTTATGATAAATATACTCAAATGCTTTAAAGTAGCTATGTTGCTCACTCAACAGTTCTCATTCATTCATTCTTTCTTTTTTTTTTTTTTTACTTTAAGTTCTGGGATACATGTACAGAATGTGCAGGTTTGTTACATAGGTATACATGTGCCATGGTGGTTTGCTGCACCCATCAACCCGTCATCTAGGTTTTAAGCCCTGCATGCATTAGGTATTTGTCCTAAAGCTCTCCCTCCCCTTGCCCCCCAACCCCCTACAGCCCCGGTGTGTGATGTTCCCCTCCCTGTGTCCATGTGTTCTCATTGTTCAACTCTCACTTATGAGTGAGAACATGAGATGTTTGGTTTTCTGTACGTGTGTTAGTTTGCTGAGAATGATGGCTTCCAGCTTTATCCATGTCCCTGCAAAGGACATAATGTCATACTTTTTATGGCTGCGTAGTATTCCACAGTGTACATGTGCCACATTTTCTTTATTCAGTCTATCATTGATGGGCATTTGGGTTGGTTCCAAGTCTTTGCTATCACACATGCTCACTCATTCGAAGAGAGTATATGTCACCAAGCTCTTCCACGCCAAGCCCTCAAGTCCCCAGACCCAAACCCTCATATGTGTGAAAATCACCTCCTGAATGTCGTTTAGCTTGGTAAACTTTTTCCGGGAAAAGATGTTTCCACTTTGGGCTGCACAAACTCTGCATTCTAAGTTTCCATTTCCTAGGGGATTTCCTTTCAAGAAATGCCCCAAAGAAAAAAGACAAAAAGGAGAGGGGAAGTCCTGTTCATTATACTTCAGAATATGTTCTCCTCCTTCTCCCCAGCTCTGAACTCATCCCCACAAATTGCTTTCCCAAATAACTCACTGGGCAGGGCTGTAACAGGGTCCCACAGGATGCTCTCATCCACTTACCCAAGTGTCTCCAAGGGGCTGGCATCAGTGGGCACCTTTTCCTAACTAACAGGACCCTTCCTTGGCTGTCGGGTGGGCCTGCATGTGGTACTTCTTCAAGCCCGCTGCAAGCTCTGCAGATGACAGTAAACCTGCTGACCCCGAAGCGCTCTGCTCAGCTCCTCAAAGTGCTGTTTCTCATTGGGTGCACCCTGAGCTCAGAGATGTCTACAGTGCAGTGTTTTCTTACCGCAGACACTCAAGTGATTCCCTTAAAGAATTTGGTTAAAGCAAGGCTAGCAGATTCTTCTAATTTTGTAGCTGCCTTAGGGAGGGAGGGAAAATAACCCAGAGAGTTATACTCAAGACTCCAACTCTGGAGGACTCTGGCAGCATCCCACTGGTCATTCTCATTTCTTCCTCAGATTAAAAGGCAGTGTATCCCAGTCTGCTACCTTTTCTCAGCCTGCACACTCAGGGCGGCCATGTACATGCGTTTAGGTTGTGTATTTCATGAGATCACCACATGCCATTCACATCAGAGGTGTCTTTATTTCTTTGTGGGGTTTGGTGGGTGATTTTTTTTTTGGCTTTTTTTCCTCCAAAGATAAGAATGTGTACATCCAGTAGAAAATTTTTCCAGCAAATGGAAGTAAAGTGCCTTGTTCTAACAGGATAGATATAAACAATGCCACTTTAACTTATTTTAAAAAGAAAACCTTGTTGATCTAGCAATAACTAAAATAACCTGAGTTTCTAAATGAGTTGCTCCTTTCACGAGTGATGGGCTAATCAGCAATTGCCATAAAATTACTAATAAATTGCTTTTTGATATTAGTGTGCTGGTTACATTTGCTATTTTATATTGCAGTTCATATCATTTGTCATTTTATTGTATCAGATGGCATTGCTGAGTTCACATTTTAAATCTACAATCATAATATAACCACTAATAGTATTTACCAAGAATAATTCAAAGTAATAACTATTATATGGAAATAAATTAGAAATTAATAAGTAATGCTAGGCTAATTATTTTATAGCAATAATTTATTTTAATTATGAAATTGTAATAATTGCAAAATTTTAATGTGTATTAAAATTCAGCAGCTTATTACTATACATTACTTTAAAATGCTATAAATTCTAATATAAGAATGCTGAGCCTAGGCCGGGCGCGGTGGCACACGCCTGTAATCTCAGCACTTTGGGAGGCCGAAGCAGACAGATCACCTGAGGTCAGGAGTTTGAGACCAGCCTCAACGTGGAGAAACCCCGTCTCTACTAAAAATACAAAATTAGCCAGGTGTGGTGGTGCATACCTGTAATCCCAGCTACTTGGGAGGCTGAAGCAGAACTGCTTGAACCTGGGAGGCGGAGGTTGTGATGAGCCGAGATCACGCCACTGCACTCCAGCCTGGACAACAAGAGTGAAACTCCGTCTCAAAAAAAAAGAATGCTGAGCCTTTAAATTATTTCTCCACACTGGAGAATATAGCTTCCCAAAACTAAAATTTATTTAAAACCTACTTAAGGTCTACTATGTCAAAAGAAAGGTTGTAAAATCTAGAATTGTTTCTATAGAAAATAAAATACTAATGCAAGTAAGTATTGAAATCATCATAAAGAATTTTATTTCCATGAAAACAAGACATAATTATTTTATACAAATTATTATGTCCTCTTTTATTAATTATCTTTAGTTGCATGGTTGGTGGCTTAAAGCAGTAAACATTATTATCCGACATAGTGTTTGAGTCTTATCAGGGGCATTTTAACTGGGTGGTTCTGGCCAGGATGTCTGGCCAAGCTGCAGTTCAGATTTTGGCAGGGGCTGCAGTCAGCTCAAGGCCTGCCTGGGCCGGATGCTCTACCTTCAAAATGGCGCACTCACAGGGCTGTCAGGAGGAAGCCTCAGTTCCTCACTGTGTAGGCCTCTCCAAGGGGCTGCTCGTGCCGTGGCAGCTCTCTTCCCACAGAGTAAATGACCCAAGTGATGTACTCTCACTTCTGCCATATGCTATTAGTCACACAGGCAGTCCCTAGAAGATGGAGAAGCATGCACGGGACATGAATATCAAGAAGCAGAATAATACTGAGAACCACCCTGGAGGCTGCCTACCACACCGAGTGACTTTGAGTTCTTAATTACTCTTATTTAAAATGTAAATTTTCTTCTAATTTGATTGGTACCATTCATATAGATTAACTTTATGGTTGTTTTATTAAGACATAATTAACACATTCATTTCCTTAAATATTTCTTGATAAGTGATGCCTCAAAAAGGTGGCTTTGGCCAGATGCCATGGCTCATGCCTGTAATCCCAGCACTTTGGGTGGCCGATGGGGGTGGATCACTTGAAGTCAGGAGTTTGAGACCAACCTGGCCAACATAGCAAAAACCCGTCTCTACAAAAAATACAAAAATTAGCCGGGCGTTGTGGTGGGTGCCTGTGTCCCAGCTACTTGGGAGGCTGAGGCAGAGAATTGCTTGAACCCAGGTGGCGGAGGTTGCAGTGAGCTGAGATCACACAACTGCACTCCAGCCTGGGGAAAAGAGAAAGACTCCGTCTCAAAGAAAAGAGAAGAAAAAAAAAGAAAGGAAAGGAAAGGAGAGGAAGGGAAGGGAAGGGGCGGGGAGGGGAGGGGAGGGGAGGTGAGGGGAAGGGAGGCTTTGAGGTTGTGATGACTCTGAAACAATTCCCCTGGGGGTGGGGTGTGGTGTGCATACTCATTTCAGAGACTTCAACCATCATCTATTTGCAGATGGTAAATCCGTATCTCCTGCCAGACCACTCTCCTGACTTGTATCTCCAAGCTGCCTACCAGACATACTCATTTACACATTCTACAAGCACTTCAAACTCAACTTGCCCAAAGTCAATACTTCCTCAAAAATTACTTTGTTCTTCTTCAGTAATCCCTTTGATATCACGAGGCAGCACATCAACCCAGTTGCCTGAGCCAGAAACATGGTGTCATTCCTGAATTCTCGTGAACATGTATATCCAATCACTTATCAAGTCCCATTGATTTGACCTCTTCAGCATCTCCCAAATCTCCTCTAGATGCGACAGCCTCCAACACCACGATGGTTCAGATGCTCAGCCTTCCTCCCCAGTTCTCCCAGTTACCTTCTAATCACTCTGCCTCTGATCTCATCTTCCCTTCCTCTGGTCTAGCTTTTACATTGCCCACTAAAGTAATTTTAAATGTGAGTTTAATCACATTGTTCCCTGACTTGAAGTCCTGCCATATACATTTGGTGCCATATACATTTGTTGGTTTGGCAAACAAGGCAACCTCAAGCCTGCTTCAGCCTATTTTTCTAGTCCTCTTTCTCATTAGACCCCAACATAAACCCTAAGCTCCAGTCCTAATAAACTTTTCAGAATTCTTTGAATCACCTGCATGGTCTCCTTACTTCCGGGTCTTTGCACATGTTACCTCTACTTGTAATATTTTTCCACCCCCTTGTTTACCGTCCCAGATCTTTGCCATCTTTCCAAACATAGCTCCAGTGTCACCTCCTTTGGGCAGCCTTCCCTGATTTCCCAGTCTGAGCCAGAGGCCCCCTCTTCTGTATTTTCCCACAGCATCACATGCGTATCTCTATGGATGTAATATACAGTTTGACAAGCATATGTTCCTCCACCTTTGAAGTCAATGACTGCATCAATGTTATTCAGCTGTTCAGTCCTAGTTACATAACAGTCCCTTGATAAGTGATAGTGAAAAGCAAAAAGGGGCAGAGAGCCTTTTCCCCTCTCAAGAGCCTGGCTGGAAGCAGAACACTTACGTATGTTCCCATATGTTGCAGCTCTAGTCCTTACGTTCCTAGGGTGGGGAAAGTTGCAGGAAGTCAGGGACCCCAAATGGAGGGACCAGCTGAAGCCGCAGCAGAGGAACGTAAATTGTGAAGATTTCATCTTAATATGGACATTTATCAGTTCCCAAATAATACTTTTATAATTTCTTATGCCTGTCTTTACTTTAATCTCTTAATCTTGTTATCTTAGTAAGCTGAGGATGTACATCACCTCAGGACCACTGTGATAATTGTGTTAACTGTACAAATTGATTGTAAAACATGCGTGTTTGAACAATATGAAATCAGTGCACCTTGAAAAAGAACAGAATAGCAGCGATTTTTATGGAACAAGTGAAGACAACCGTAAACTCTGACTGCCTGCAGGGTCAGGCAAAAAGAGCCATATTTTCCTTCTTGCAGAGAGCCTATAAACGGACATGCAAGTAGAAGAGATATTGATAAATTCTTTTCCTAGCAAGGAATATTAATATTAATACCCTGGGAAAGGAATGCGTTCCTGGGAGGAGGTCTATAAATGGCCACTCTGGGAATGTCTGTCTTGGGCAGTTGAGATAAGGACTGAGATAAGCCCTGGTCTCCTGCAGAACCCTCAGGCTTACTAGGGTTGGGAAAACTCCGCTCTGGTAAATTTGTGGTCAGACCGGTTCTCTGCTCTTGAACCCTGTTTTCTGTTGTTTAAGATGTTTTTCAAGACAATATGTGCACCACTGAACATAGACCCTTATCGGTGGTTCTGCTTTGCCCTTTGCCTTGTGATCTTTGTTGGACCCTTATCAGTGGTTCTGCTTTTGCCCTTTGTCCTGTTCCCTCAGAAGCATGTGATCTTTGTTAGACCCTTATCAGTGGTTCTGCTTTTTGTCCTTTGAAGCATGTGATCTTTGTACCTACTCCCTGTTCTTACACTCCCTCCCCTTTTGAAACCCTTAATAAAACCTTGCTGGTCTGAGACTCAGGCGGGCATCACGGTCCTACCGATATGTGATGTCACCCCTGGCGGCCCAGCTGTAAAATTCCTCTCTTTGTATTGTCTCTCTTTATTTCTCAGCTGGCCGACACTTACGGAAAATAGAAAGAACCTACATTGAAATGTTGGGGGCGAGTTCCCCCAGTAGGGGAAATGATGCTACTTGCTTAGAAGCTGGCCCTCTCGGCATGCCAAATTATACTGCCTCCTTCTAACTGATGTTACAGGTTTGATCAATACCCATTTCCCTACTTTTGCTTTGTTTTCCTTTTCTGTTGAAGCAGAGAGGCCAAACGTGACTTTCCAGCCTTTCTTACACCTGAGGCTGGTTAATGACACAGTTCCAACCAATGAGATGTGAGCAAAAGGCCCTGGGAAGGCCATCCCTTCCTGAAATAAACGGCAAAGCCTTAGTGTGAGGATTCGGCTACTTCACCTTTCTCTTTTCTTCCAGCCTGGAATGTGGTTGTGGGGCCTTGTGGTGCAGCAGCCATCTTGTGACTATGAATCCAACAGGCCTAGAAATGAAAACCACTCACTGAGCAGGATAGAGCAGAAAGACAGAAGAAGTCACGGTCTTTCATGACATTGCTGAGCACTGAATCAGCCCTGAATTGCCAACTTCCAATGATGTTCTGTAAAATTAAATAAATCTCTAATTGTTTGAGCTACCAAAGTTCAAGTTTTCTGTTATTTGCAACCAAAAGCATTTCTAAGAGCTATGATACCCTATGGAGGTATAAATTTCTTATTACCTAGGACTCCTTGGAGTTATGTGCAATATTAATAACCAACATAGGTACTATTTATTGAGCTCATACTGCAGATCAAGCACAGTAATAAATGTTGATGATTCATGATCTCATTTTATTTTATTATTATTATTATTATTTTTTGAGACGGAGTCTCACTCTCTCACCCAGGCTGGAGTGCAGTGGCACAATCTCAGCTCACAGCAAGCTCCGCCTCCCGGGTTCATGCCATTCTCCTGCCTCAGCCTCCCAAGTAGCTGGGACTACAGGTGCCTGCCACCACACCTGGCTAATTTTTTGTATTTTTAGTAGAAACAAGGTTTCACTGTGTTAGTCAGGATGGTCTTGCTCTCCTGACCTCGTAATCTGCCTGCCTTGGCCTCTCAAAGAGCTGGTATTACAGGCGTGAGCCACCACGCCTGGCCATGATCTCATTTTAATTCTCACCTAAGAGATAGATGGTATTATTATTATTATTATGACAGAGTTCTTCTTAAGCATTGGATAATTCAATGAGAGAGACAAGGAAACTCACCTAAGGTCACCCAGTAAGTGTCAGAGAGTGTCATACTCATAAGCACTGTATTGATCTGCAAATAACACTAGCCATTTGATCTTAATTTTTGGAGGACAGACAGCATTCCATGCCTGCAGCCTTTCTGTTACCTGAGAACTGTCAATACAACAGAGCTTGGCTCATAATGATACTTACACCACCTGTGTATGAACAAAACTAGTGTAACCAAATAAAATGGTGTTATTGTAAAGAGCTCATGGGAATTTGAGCAGGGTAGCCTTTTGGAAAGCACCAAAAAGGGCCTATTTGGCTTTGAAGTGCAAGGTAGCCTAGGCAGAGGCTATGTGAAAAATATTTGGCCAAAATGCTCCACACAATAAGGTCTCAAGAAATTCTGGAGTTGTCAGCTGGTGCTCTGAGAAGGGAAGTGGACTCTGGAAGAAAGAAGGGAGGGGAGGAAGGGCACTTCCTCTTGAAGCAGTGAGAAATCCCCTCTAGTGGGGAATGGCAGGAAAAGGTACAAGAAGAGCGAGGAGTAATACACAATCTGAAGCAGTTTTCTGCATATGCTATAATTATTCCCTGAAACTTCAGAAACATCTGTTAATTGAAGTAGCCTTGCATTAGCATTGTTTTGCAGAAGGAGTAAAACGTGGAAGTAGGCCAGGTGTGGTGGCTCACACCTATAATCCCAGCACTTTGGGAGGCTGACGCGGGTGCATCACTTGAGGTCAGGAGTTCGAGACCAGCTTGGCCAACATGGTGAAACCCTGTTTCTACTAAAAAATACAAAAATTAACCGGGCATGGTGGTGCATGCCTGTAATCCCAGCTACTCAGGAGGCTGAGGCAGAGAGTCACTTCCACCCAGGAGGCAGAGGTTGCAGTGAGCCGAGATCGCACCATGGCACTCAGCCTAGGTGACAGAGCAAGACTCTGTCTCAAAAAAAACAATAATAATAATCAGTGGCAGTACTTTCAAAAATCTACACGGGGATGAGATGACAGGTTCCAGCTGCAAACCCACCTGTGTTGTAGATAGATTCTGTATTTTCCCCAAATACATCGAGTCACTAGAACCTTTGGAGGTAGAGGAAGAGGAACGAGATCACTTAGGATGGAGGATAAAGCCTTTTTATTGGATAATACTGAAGAGGATGTTAGGGGAAAGGTAAAGCACTTAAAGTCACTTGGGTTTCAGGGGTTTATTAAAAATTGGATGATATTCTAGACCAGCACTGTCCAATACATATATAGCCACAAACATCAGCCATATGTTTAATTGTAAACTTTCTGGTAGGTACATTTTAAAAAGTAAAAAGAAATACATAAAATTACTTTTAACAATTCCTATGATTTGAATATGTTCCCCAAAGTTTATGTATCAGAAACTTTATCCCCAATGCAGCAATGTTGGTGGTACAGCCTAATAAGTGCCGATTAGGTCATGAAGGCTCTGCCCTTGTGAGTGGATTAATGTTGTTATTGAGGGAGTAAGTTAGTTATCTCAAGAGAGGGCTTGTTAGAAAAATGAGTTTGGCCCTCTATTTCTCTCCTACACATTCTCTTGCTCTCCTGCCTTCTGCCATGGGATGATGAAGCAAGAAGGCCATCACCAGATGCCACCCCTTGACCTTGGACTCCAGCCTCCAGAATTGTAAACTAACCAGTGTCAGACATTCTGTTATAGCAGCACAAAATGGACTAAGAAAATAATATAGTTTATTTAATCTAACAAAATTTTTTTTATCATGTAACCAATGTTTAAAAATACATGAGATATTTCATATTCTCTTTTTGCACTAAGACTTTGAAATCCATTTGGTAATTTATACTTACAGCTATCTCAGTTTGAGCTAGCCACATTTGAAGTGCTCAATAACACCAAACCTTACCTCTTTAAGTTTTTTTTTTAAGTTTAACAATTTTTCATGGCAATTTGCCTAAAATATAGTACTATAAACTTGGGTGTCTCCCCTTTTTTGCAACTTTTTCTCTATTATAAAAATTTTCTCCCTTTTTTGCAGCTTCTCTATTATTTTCTACTATGGTCGTTTGTAGAAAATTTGAAAAATACAGAAAAGTACAAAGAAAGAAATTTAATCCATCCATAAACCACCTTTCAGAAATAACCACTGCAAAAATTTTAATATATGGTTCTAAATTTAAATATACATACATATATATCTCAAATTAAGATATAGTGTATGAAATATACAGTATTATTTGCTTCCTTTTTCACTTTTAAAAAAGTTATGTGATGCCCAAACTGAGGTCATCTTTCTCTGCACATTCAGAAGAATCAATACAGTTTTCAGCATGCCGCAGATAGCATTATGAATCCTTCAGTCCCTAGGGTTAAATAAATGTTATCTATTCCCAATCCTTTGTTATGGATGTCTCTTCTGTCACTGTAAGTTTATGGGGTTTTTTCTTCTCCAAATTATGAGAGCTCATCTTTTTCTCTTCGTATACAATGTTTTCACCTAATTCATTTCTCACGTGCATTACCGTAACAGTAGCTTCTTTGGTCTCCCTGTGTCCAATTTCTTCCATTTCAAAACATCCTGGTTATTGATGCAAGACTAATCTTCAAAATGTCATTTTTGACCTGTTGGTAGGATGAAGACAGAAGAGATGGGAGATTAAGCAGCCAGCTTTGAATCTCTGAAATAGAAATACACACTTTAGGGAAATCGGTGCTTCCAATAGGAATATAATTACCCCTCCATATCCTCCCCCTTCACATCCAACCCATCATAGAAAAGGAAAGTCTGACACAAGATACTTATTAAAACCTCAAAAAGATATTAGAGACCAGTTTCTCTAAGAAAGGATACTGGAGGCCGGGTGCAGTGGCTCACGCCTGTAATCCCAGCACTTTGGGAGGCCAACGCAGGCAGATCACAAGGTCAGGAGTTTGAGACCAGCCTGGCCAACATGGTGAAACCCCGTCTCTACTAAAGATATGAAAAATTAGCCATGCGTGGTGGTGCACCCCTGTAATCCCAGCTACTTGGGAGGCTGATGCAGGAGAATCGCTTGAACCCAGGAGGCGGAAGTTGCAGTGAGCCGAGATTGCGCCATTGCATTCTAGCCTGGGCAACAGGGCAAGACTCCATCTCAAAAAAAAAAAAAAAAAAAGAAAGGATACTGGAAATTACAGCTACCTTTTCCCCACCAATGCATAGATACAGAAAAGCTGACAGAGCACTAGAACTATGCCCTCCAGCCACAGTCCAGAAGGCAAAACAAATGGGTCTTGCACAAAAATGAGAAAGGATTTGAGGAGAAATTACACCCAAGTAAATTGAAAGTCTGGATAAACTCCCCTACATTAAACATTAAGAAGATGAAAACAAATACTGTCTGCATTATGAAAATCTATTACTTTTTTAAAAGGAGGACAAAGAAACAACCAGACTAAGAAAAAAAAGATATGGAACCCAGTGTTGAAGAAAATATAACTCAAAGGAGAGAAGGAAATTCTCTATAACGGCTTCTCTATAAAGCAACTAAAAAAATATGAATTCTATAAATAAGAACTTAAAGACAAGATGAAATACAAAACAACAACAGGAAAAGAGAAACTTACAATTCTAAGTAAACAGATTAAAGACTAAAAGAATACTCATCATAACTCATAGATTCTGCTTCTTATATATGACATTACTCACAGATAAAAGAGACCCAGGCTCTGGGCCCTGCTCTTTAGAGGACCGAAGATATCACAAAGACCAGGAAGATAAATTCATTAAAGAACACGTGGACATCTCTGATGTTCTGTGCTGGCACAGCAAAACCCACAACCCTAAACCTACTCTCATAATCCACACCCTCAGGCCCCAAGGAAAGGTTTCTTCTGATGTACCGAAGAATGCCAAACGCCATGAAGGTTTTTGCGCCTTTGCCAGTATCAGAGATGGACACTGCTCAGGAGAATGAGAAAGATTTGAGCTGAAGAATTTAAGAAGGATAATAGACCAATTCACTTGCTTGTCAGATACATAGTCTCAGCATGAATCCCATAGATTCTTACTGAAGAAAGTATTATTTCCCAGAAGGCCAAGCATTCATTCTCTCATGTCTTTTTGTATCTAATTCATTGGTTTTGAAGGTACTAAAATATTAAAGCATATTCACAACTGTTACACATGGCATCTGAGGAGCATTTTGCAACATTAAACAACTCATATTACATATTATTCTTAAAGGTGTATGTACATACAGACAAGAAATAACTTATGTGAAGTGTAGTTCCAATTATTTACATTGGTAACTATGTGGACTTTGAACATTAACACTACAAATAGTTTTACAATGTAAAAATCTTTTACTATTACTGTATTAAACTTTTAAAATACTAAATAAAATATCAACTTTATGTAATTTTGATTTTTGTTCAATGTAATTATTATTTATTTTTATTTTTATTTTTATTTGCGACAGAGTGACTCTGTTGCCCAGGCTGGAGTGCAGTGGCACAATCTCAGCTCACTGCAACCTCCACCTCCCGGGTTCAAGCCATTCTCCTGCCTCTGCCTCCCAAGTAGCTGGGATTACAGGAGCCCACCACCATATCTGGCTAATTTTTGTACTTTTAGTGGAGACAGGGTTTCACCATCTTGGGCAGGCTGGTCTCAAACTCCTGACCCATCAGGTGATCTGCCTGCCTCACCCTCCCAAAGTGCTGGGATTACAGGCATGAGCCACTGCACCCAGGCTGTTTTGTCTTTTGATAGAGAAATTTCAGGCAGGGTGCAGTGGCTCACACCTGTCATCCCAGTGCTTTGGGAGGCTTAGGTGGGAGGATTGTTTGAGGCTGAGAGATCAAGAGACCCTTCTCTACAAAAAAATTCAAAAAATTAGCCTGGTATGGTGGTATGTGCCTGTATAGTCCCAGCTACTTGGGAGGCTGACATGGGAGAATTGCTTGAACCCAGGAGCTCAAGGCTGCAGTAAGCTATGATTGTGCCGCTGCATTCCAGCCTGGTTGACAGAGGAAGACTCTGTCTCTTAAAAAAAAAAAGTTTTTAAATTTCAATTTTAGAAGAAAAATATAAAAATCATTAAAACAATTTAAAAATTTAAATTTTTACATCCTTTTTGTTTTTGATGAAAATTATTCAAATTTTGTTCTTTTTAAATTTTTAATCATATATATATATATAATTTTTTTTTTTGAGACGGTGTCTCGCTCTGTCGCCAGGCTTCAGAGTGCAGTGGCGCACGGCTCAGTGCAACCTCTAGTTTGAGTGATTCTCCTACCTCAGCCTCCTGAGTAGCTGGGATTACAGGCACATGCCACCACACCCAGCTAATTTTTTGTATTTGTAGTAGAGATGGGGTTTCACCATGTTGGCCAGGATGGTCTTGACCTCCTGACCTCATGATCCTCCTGCCTTGGCCTCCCAAAGTGCTGGGATTAGAGGCATGAGCCACAGCGCCCAGCCTCTTCTATATATTTTTTTAAAGATTACGTGAAAATGTGAAAAATGGCTGGACGCAGTGGCTCACACCTGTAATCCCAGCACTTTGGGAGGCCTATGCAGGCAGATTACGAGGTAAGGAGATCGAGACCATCCTGGCCAACACAGTGAAACCCCATCTCTACTAAAAATACAAAACATTAGCCGGGCGTGGTGGCGGGCGCCTATAGTCCCTGCTACTTGGGAGGCTGAGGCAGGAGAATGGCTTGAACCCGGGAGGTGGAGCTTGCAGTGAGCCGAGATTGTGCCACTGCATTCCAGCCTGGGTAACAGAGTGAAACTCAGTCTCAAAAAAAAAAAAAAAAAAAGAAAATGTAAAAAAGTTCTTAAAAAACAAATTATATGAAAATCTTCATTATACCAACATAATGAGTGATTTTGCTAAAATGAAAGAAAAATTAATGTTATGAATAGACAAAAAGCATATGAACTATAAAAGTTTTTACTTTAGTACACATCTAACCATTGCTGGCCCATGAACAGAACACTCAAATATGCCCAATTATAATTACATGCATCACCTTTAATATTTTGTCAAATTTCAGTCATGTAAAAACCATGGCTTTTACACATATTGTCTATTTTGTTAGTATGAAAGTATATTTGTCAAAGAAGAAGGATAGAGCATATTTTTTAATTTAATAATTTCTTAGTTTGGTTTATAACTTCTAAATATTTAGATATATGGAGGATGGCCCTGCATTTATTTTCTTGCTCTTATTCCTACAAATATCAGGAGCAGCACTGCTTATCAGTAAGGAACAAAATTGATATAGCAAAAAATTAAATTATTCCCAAGAAGGAAAGTCTTGAGACAAATAAAGTGAGCATAAGGAAATAAAACCCAAAAAGTCGTTTAAGAAAAATGAATAGATATGGAAAATAAAAGTGACCCAGGTCCAATGGAGAAATCTGCTGAACACTTACCTTAGCCAAGTGCTCAAATTTAGTGCAATGAATGATGGGAAAGCCTGAGACAGTATGCATCCCGATGTGATGAACTGAACACTACACACTAGCTATTCTTGCAAAAAATGGGTAATCTGAATCTAATCATAAGCAAATAATTGGACAAATTCGAATTGTGGGACACTTCACAAGACAACTTGTCTGGACTTCTCAAAAATGTCATTGTCATAAAACCTCCCTCCCCACCCTTCCCAGAAAACAACTTAAAGATTGCTCTAGATTAAAGAAAATGAAAGACATCATTTTTAAAAAGTGACCCAATATATAGGTAATTGTCGCTTGAAGTAAAAATTCAACGAAGCAACAGAAAAATTATCAAAAATATGTGAAAACAAAGCCAGGCACAGTGGCTCACACCTGTAATCCCAGCACTTTGGGAGGCCAGAGTGGGTACATTCCTTGAGCTCAGGAGTTCAAGACAAGTCAGGGCAACATAGAAAGACCCCCAACTCTATTAAAATATATTTATATATATGTAATATAATAATATTATATATTATATGTAAATATATATATAATATAATATATATTATATGTAAATATATATAATATAATATTATATATTATATGTAAATATATATATAAAGAAAACATTCTCTAAAAGAAAAATGGAACCCACAGATTGAAAAGAAAGTTCTCCTTTAAGTAAGATTTGTACTAAATGAAATGCTTAAACGGGAGAAGTTAGTTATATCTTGACCTTCCTTAGGTCCTCTTGGTTACCATTATATGGTCCAGTGGCAATTGTATTGTCACACGCCTTTCTTACTCTACTTTACACATTAGTTTCTGATTTTTCCTCCCTTCTATCTTTTTTCTCATCTCATGACACTGGCGGAGTGGCTAACATAGTTAACTATGTGTAAAATAAGAGTAAGTAGGCTCAGAATGAGTGCCTAATAGACTTTATTGTGGCATAAAGAGCTCAGGTTTGGTGAAGGTTACTGATAAAACTCAGAGGCATTCTTTACTTCCAGTTTCAGGGCTATGTTCTTAAATGCAGATGTTATCAGGAGTCTGACTTTCATACAAGGGAAGAGAAAGGATCAGGGAGAATCCCTTCTATTTCTCTCAATTTCCCATCTTAGTACACATTAGAAAAAACTTTTATCAAGACTTTCACCTCCTGAGGAGCATCCTCGTTTCCTCATCCTTGACTTTTGACCTACGTATATTATTATAACTGATGTGAGTGTCTTGTAGGCAGTATATAACTAGGCTGTGCTTTCTTCTTTTTTTAATCCATTCTGACATTCTCTCTGTTTTAATTGGCATGTTGAGACCAAAGGTTGGCCAACTATGGCCCATGGGCCAAATCCAACCCACCACCTGTTTTTGAACAGAACAATATGTAAAAGAGATTGCTTATGGTTCACAAAGCCGAATATTTACTATATGGCTTTTTAAAAACATTCCTCAACCACTGATTTAGACCATTTACACTTAATGTAATTATTGATATGTTTAGATTGATGCCTAATATTTTATTGTTTGCTTTTAGTTTTTATCTCTGTTTTTTGTTCTTCTATTTCTCCTTTCCTATCTCCTTTTGGGTTACTTGAACATTTTTTAATATTACATTTTATCTATTATGTGTTTTGACTTGATCATAGCTCACTGCAGCCTCAAACTCTTGGGCTCAAGTGATTCTCCCACCTCAGCCCCCTGAGTAGCTAGGACTATAAGCATTCACCACCATGTCTGGCTTTCTTTTTTTTTTTTTTTTTTTTTTTTTTGTAGAGGTGGGGTCTCACTATGTTTCCTAGGCTAGTCTTGAATTCCTGACCTCAAGCCATCCTCCCACCTCAGCCTCCCAAAGTATTGGGATTACAGGCATGAGCCTCTGTGCCCAACCTATATCTCTTTGTACAGTATCTTTATGGGTTGCTCTAGGGATTACAGTAGACATATTTAACTTTTTCTAACTCTACTTAGAATCAGTATTTTACCACTGTAAGTGCAATATGAAAACTTCACTACCATATAGGTCTCTTTATCCTTGCCCTTTTATTTTGTAGTTATTATATACCACATCTATAAACATTAAAAACTTCACCATTGTTTGAATTTTTGCTTTCTATCATTTAACATATTTTAAAGAACTAAAGAGGAGAAGAATATTATACTTATCTTGGTATTTGCCATTTCTGTTGCTCTTCCTTTATTCCTAATGCTCCAAGTTTCCTTTTGGTATCATTTCCCTACTATATGGTGAATTTCCTTTAGCAATTCTTTTAGTGCAAGCTTACTAAAAACAACTCCTCTTAGTTTTCCTTCATCTGAGGATGTCTTTATTTCATCACTTCATTACTGAAGGATATTTTTGCTAGTAATAGAACTATGGGTTGACAGTTCAAGCTAGGGGAGCTCATACATTGGAAAAAATACTAAACTAAACATCAGTTCAGTGGTACTTTGATTTTTGTCTTCTTCACTGATGTGCCTGCTATTATTTACTTTTCAGAGTCCTCAAATAGTGGCTCTATGCATTCTGTCCAGCTTTTATGCCTGCATTCAGGTGGAAAGACAGGGTGGAGTGTGCTTATTCCATTTTACCCAGAAGGAGAATCCTTTCTTCACCCTTTAACACTCTTCAATTACGGAGAATAGTAGTTTGATTAGTGGAAGTTGACATTCCCCCATCAGTGTTTACTAGTAAGAGTATCAGTATGCTAAAGGTCACATCCAGGAATGTTCCAACTCCTTTGTTCTCTCTTTGACCTG
This sequence comes from Homo sapiens, assembly GCF_000001405.40. Classification (NCBI taxonomy): domain Eukaryota; kingdom Metazoa; phylum Chordata; class Mammalia; order Primates; family Hominidae; genus Homo; species Homo sapiens. Next base: position 13,818,504 of record NC_000006.12, on the reverse strand, counting down.
CTTGCACCGGGGACAATGAGCCCTTGACCTTTCTGTTACTACCTGCTAAAACAGACCCAGTAGATCTTTCAGGGATAGCTCTGGCCATCTTCCATCTCTTTTCTCCTGATGACACCTAGAATATATAAGGCCACCTAAACTTCTCACAGATGGTGGCTAAGTCAGAGTCTGCTCTGTGAATCCAGCTTTACTCATGGGAGGTCCCTAAGTCTAGATACAGAGAGAGAGTAAGATGGCCCCACTTTGGCCCCAGATCCAAGTATATTCACCAATCCAACTTTGTCATAAAGTCCAACTTTGTCATGGTTCACATGGGGGTTGTCTGGCTCCTGCCTGATCCATTAATTAGTTGATACTTCTTCTTCTTCATTGGCCATTAGATTCCTGTATCTAGTCTCTCTATACATAGACAGAAGTCTAACATGTCTAGATTATCCTAATGTACACTAATGTATCCGGGATAGGAATCAGAAGCCCTATCCCAGCTGGTTTAAGTAAAAGCAACTTATTGGATTACATAAATAAAATGCCAATTTCAGCCTAAGCTAGAATCAGACGCTCAAAAGGACCCGTCTCTTCATTTCTCAGTCTTCTTTTCTTCATAAGGGCTTTAGTCTTAGGCCACATGGTAGCCCCAGGAGCTCATGGTTCAAATCATCCTATACCTAGACATCACAATAAAATAAGACGACCTCTTCCCAATAGTTCCTATTAAGAACCCTAGAATTGGGCCAGGCGTGGTGGCTCACACGTGTAATCCCAGCAATTTGGGAGGCTGAGGCAGGCAGGTCACTTGAGGTCAGGAGTTTGAGACTAGCCTGGCCAACATGGTGAAACCCCGTCTCTACTAAAAAATACAAAAATTAGCTGGGCATGGTGGTGCTTGCTTGTAATCCCAGTTACGTGGGAGGCTGAGACAGGAGAATCGCTTGAACCCAGGAGGTGGAGGTTGCAATGAGCCAAGATTGAGCCACCACACTCCAGCCTGGGCAACAGAGTGAGACTCCATCTCAAATAAACAAACAAAAAAAGAATCCTAGAATTGAAGCTTTTTTTTTTTAGATGGAATTTCACTCTTGTTGCCCAGGCTGGAGTGCAATGGTGCAATCTCAGCTCACCGCAACCTCCACCTCCTGGGTTCAAGCAGTCCTCCTGTCTCAGCCTCCCAAGTAGCGGGGATTACAGGCATGTGCCACCACACCCAGCTAATTTTGTATTTTTAGTAGAGACGGGGTTTCTCTAGACTGGTCTCCAACTCCCGACCTCAAGTGATCCGCCCTCCTTGGCCTCCCAAAGTGCTGGGATTACAGGCGTGAGCCACCGCGCCCGGCTGCTCATTAACTCTGATTGGGTGACATGCCCATGCCTGTGGTCTGCAGAGCGATCAGTCTCTCCAAACCGCATGGACTGAGAGCAGAGAAGAGCCACTGCCCATGGAAAACTAGGGTGCTGAGACCAAAAGAAAGGGAATGCTTTGGAAAATAAAACAACAGGTGTCACATCCAAGGAAAAGTGGATGCTATCCAACCTGTAGTTAGAACTGACATTCATTATACTCCTATCATAGGCCAGGCACTGTGCTAAGTGCTTTACATATGTTATTGTATTCAATATGGCTGGTAATAGTAATACATGAAAAGTTAGTCAACATCATTAGGCATCAGGGAAATGTTATGTTAAAAATCACAATAAGGTACCATTTTATGAGGACTGAAAATATCAAAATTTGGCAAGGATGTGGAACAACCGAAACGCTCATCTATTGCTAAGAGTGTGAAAGGGTGCAGTCGCTTTGGAAAAACAATTCAGCAGTGTCTAAAGTTAAGCTACCATATGATTCAGCAATTTGACCCAGATACTTTCCCCAACAGGGATAAAAATTATGTCCACACAAGGTCTTATACAAGAATGTTCATAACGCCCTATGCATAATAGCCAAAAACTATAAGCAAAGCAAATGGCCATTAATAGAATGGATGACCGCTTGTGGTATGGTCATACAATGGAATACTATTCAACAATTAAAAGCAACTAATTACTGATACAACAGCATGGATGAATCTCATTGATATTGAAGTCAGACGCAAAGCAGAAGAAAGACACAAGGCAATGCATATTGTAGGTCTCCATTTACATGAAGTTCAAAAAAAGACAAAACTAATCTATGGTCATTGAAATTTGAAAATAGTTGGCCGGGCGCGGTGGCTCACGCCTGTAATCCTAGCACGTTGGGAGGCCGAGGCGGGCAGATCACAAGGTGAGGAGTTCGAGACCAGCTTGGCCAATATGGTGAAACCCCGTCTCTACTAAAAATACAAAAATTAGCCAGGCGTGGTGGCAGACACCTGTAATCCCAGCTACTCAGGAGGCTGAGGCAGGAGAATTGCTTGAACCCGGGAGGCAGAGGACACAGTGAGCTGAGACTGCACCACTGCACTCCAGCCTGGGTGACAGAGCAAGACTCCGTCTCAAAAAAAAAAAGAGAAAATAGTTGCCTTGGGGTGGTGGTGGATTGTCTGGAAAACTGGCACAAAATAACTTTCTGGAGCAATGAAAATGTTCTAGATCTTGACTGGGTGGTATATACAACTGCTAAATGTCATCAAGTTGCTAAATGACATTTATCAACTGCTAAATGTCACCTAAGTCTGTGGAATTTACTGTATGCAAATTATACCTCAATTTTTAAAAATTACAAAGGACTAACATTAAAGTTTGTGCCACAGTTTAATCGTTCCTCTAATGTTGTGCACTATTTTCCCATTTTTTCACAATCACAAATTATGATACAATGACTATCTTTTGTGCATATGTGAAATTACCAATATTAAGCATTTTGACCCATAAAAATGACAAGTTTGTATAGTCAAACCTAGTAGATATTTAATATTTTGGATTATTCCCATTATCCCCATTTTTAGTTAGGTGACTTGAGAAAAGTTTACAAATTTTTGTTGATACTCATTGCTAAACTGCTTTTTCTACCAATTTTATAAATGTATACTCCTTTTACAAAAGTGTCTTAGGTTGGTGCAAAAGTAATTGCGGTTTTTGCCATTACTTGCAATGGCAAAAGCCGCAACTACTTTTGCACCAACCTATGACTTGAATCCTGTTTTTCAGTTCTTCAAATTTTGATAGACACTTATCTTGCACATCCATATGCACGCTCCTCTCTTCCCAGCACTTTGTACATCTCTCATGGCTCATAACACATTCTTCCATCACGTATGTGTACACATATGGCTGTATAGGAAAACAGCTTCTGGAGGATAAGAACAATTTGTTTTGCGGTTTTTTATTTTTAATAAAATCTCCTAGCTTGGTGCCTTATGCATTTCATTTATTTATTCAACTAACATCTTCCAAATTCACATAAGGGACCAGTTATCTGTGAATGGTGTAACAGGCCTTCAAAAAGTCCACGAAACTAAACATTACCAGTTTCAAATATACCCGACAGGTCTCATTTTAACATTCATGCCCCACGTTTTAAGTTCCCAGATTGCTACCTTCCCATGTTTTTGGTGCTCTAATCTGGAAACAAAAACTCTGAAAATTTAGTTTTGAATGTATTATGTGAGGGCCTTTCCCTGGGCCCTGCTAATAATTCCTTAAAATGCTCCCCAGAACCACATGTTTGGGGACTTAGGATAATCAGTGAAATCTAGGGCAGCCTGTCGGTCTGAGACTTTTCACAGGACTCTGAAGGGCACCGGGGTAATTCCTTTTTAAGGACAGCAGTGCAGTGAAAATGCAAATCGTGACAGCAACAAGCTCCTTCCAGTTCCGGAGTGCCCGCAGGCTCCTCCCGGTCGCCGCCGTCGCCTAGCGAATGGGGTGGGGGCTCGCACGGTCCCCGCATCTCGGAGCGCCACGGCGGGCTCCTGCCGCCCCGCCCCACCCCACCCCCGGCGCGCGTCCCGAGCCCCGCCCGCGCGCCCGGCAGGAAAGGGCGGTCCTGCGCTGTGGCCCACGCTCGCTCCCGCTGTCGGACTCTGGGCCTGGACCGCGCGTGGCCGGCGCCAAAAGCGAGAGGCATGAGCGCGCGCCCGGGCCAGTGAACTGCTCGGGGATGGACTGCGGCTCGGTCGGCGGCCAGAGGACCCAGCGCCTGCCCGGCCGCCAGCGGCTTCTCTTCTTGCCCGTGGGCCTCAGCGGAAGACCGGGCGGCAGCGAAACCTCAGCACGCCGCTGCCTCTCTGCGCTCTCCGACGGTCTGGGGGCGCTGCGCCCTCGCGCCCCGGCGGCCCGCGGCGGCGTGTCACGTGCCTCACCGCTGCTCCTCCTCCTGCTAGTGCCCTCCCCGCGCTTGGCCGCCGCAGCCCCGCGCCGGCAGCTCGGGGACTGGGAGCGCTCGCGCCTCGGGTATGCCGCACCCCCGGCCGGGCGCAGCAGCGCGTGGAGGTGCTCACCGGGCGTCGCCGCTGCCGCCGGCGCCCTTCCCCAGTACCACGGCCCGGCGCCTGCACTCGTTTCCTGCAGGAGAGGTGAGGCCCGGGCGGGAGAGGAGAGGGGGCTCGTCTCGCGGGGTTGGACGGCGGGGCGGGGATCTCAGCTACAGCCTCCCCGAGGAAAGGCCCGGCAGGCCGGAGGGCGGGTCCTCCAAGGCCACCGGCATCTGCCCGGAGCGTGGGTCGAAGGTCCGGGCCCGCCCTGCTCGGCCGCGGTGGCGGGGCTTAGCCCAGAAGAGACGAATTCCTGGGAATCCCGGGCGCTAAAGTTGGAGGGAGGTGCGTGCTGGGGCGGGGAGTTGGTGCCCGCCCACTCCTAGGGTCTGCTTTTGGGCGCCGCCTTCCAGGAGTTCTGTTTGGCAGCGCCCAGCCTGTTGGGCGTTCAAGGGGAAGGGGTGTGTATGTTTGAGCAGCAAAGCTCTGGGAAATGAAGGGATTGCTTTACAGTTTGATTTCAAATTCTGATGGAATCATTAATTCGTGGAGTCCTAGCGTCTGCCCTGTCCCTGGCGCTTTTCTAGATGTGTGAGATATATCAGTCCACAAAATCTTCCCTCTGGAGCTTAATTCTAGCAGAGCAGACGCAGTAAATATGTGTGTGTGGATATACGTATGCATAATTGATGTATATATAATTTATATATACAAATAATTTTTATATATTCGTAATTCGATGCCTGGTATAGAAAAATAGGATAAGGCTTGGGAAGTGGAATGGGTCTCCAGTTGTGAATTTAAATAGGGTGATCAGAATCGATTTCATTGAGAAGGTAGCATTTAATTAGAGTCATGCATCTCTTCAGGACAGTCGCCTACTGAGAAATGAGTCATTAGGCGACTTCTTCCTTGTGTGAATATTGTAGAGTGTGCTTACACAAACCTGGATGCTACAGCCTACTACACACCTAGACTATCAGGTAGAGGCTAGTGCTCCTAGGCTACAAACCTGAACAGCATGTTACCGTACTGAATACTAGAGGCAATCTGAACACAATGGTATTTGCGCATCTAAATGTAGAAAAGGTAGAGTAAAAATATGTATTATAGTCTCATAGACCACTGTCGTGTGTGCCCCTCTGTCCTGGGCTGAAAGGTAGTTGTGGGGCTCATGACTATTTAAAGGAGGTGAGAGAGATCACTGCCCTGGAGATGAGGAAAGTAAATAGAATCAATTTATTAGATAGCATATTGTTGATTAAAGAAAAAAATCATTTCTGATAATCAACAGACTTGGCAAAATTATCACTTTGGGCAGTCTATACATATTCATTAGTAGCCATCACTAACTACACATTTTTCATATTTTCTTCAACAGATAGGCCCACTAAATGTTGACCATATCTATAATTTAAGAATATCATTGGCTGGGGTAAAAACTGATTAGTAGAGCAATAAAGTGAAGGAAACTTTATATACAGAGAGTGGGGAATGAGTAGTGAACTCGGTGTCACTGTCCTTCAGTAATTAGGAGTCGGAGATGAGTTTGGTCTTTATTCTGTATTTTGCCTTTTGTTGCGCTTTTTCTGACAAGCTAGTAATTTCCAATTTGTTTTTCTCTCAATGCAAGAGTATAGGGCAAAAAGAGAGTGTTCTTTCTCACGGATTTGCTGACCAATCGGTAAGGTGGTACTGTTGTTTTAGTGTCAGCTATCTCATTCTTCAGTCATCATAAAAAATGAGTATGGATGCATAAAAACAGAAGAGAGCAGAGACACAGTTAAGGAAGCATGTATGCCCATTAACCAGCCAATGAGCGTTTCCCAACCATTTGTTTGCTTGGTGCCTGAGGTTCTCGGTTGAGCTACTTAAGGATGTCATGAGTAGGAAGTTTGTATTTGGTTTCCTCATCCTGTCCAAGGCTACCTTTGGGCCTCTATTGTAATTGTGGGTTTTTAATATTCTCTTGATATGCTGAAGGTCCCCAGAAAGGGGAATTGCATGTTACACGTTGACACAGCTCAGTTGGCTCGCTTCCTTATGATCAGTGAGGAGTCTGGGAGTTGGCGGTGTCCTCAGGTACTGCCCTTTGACAGAAGGCCAAGAGGGCATTTCCTTCCCTCATCAGGGGTTGGAGTGACCAATGGAAAGTGGCCAGCCCTTCTGTCGACCTTTCAGAGGCAGGATTTCTTGGAAATAAGCTTGCTGTTTCTGGTTCCAATCTTTTTGAAAAAGAACAACAATAACAAAAAAACTGTAGTATCCAAATTGGCGTTACAAAGTAGTCATGTGATTGTTTTGTTTATGTGGGGGTGGGGGTGAGGAGGTTATGTTTTAAATACATGAATGATTATTTTCTTACTAGAAACAAGGAATTTAGGTCTAGAGTAACCCTGTCACTCTTCACAAGTCATTCCAGACTCAGGTGTTTTCGAGCTCCCTGACACATGGGGCAGTCCAGTAGAGTTCTGGGGCAGGTGAGGTGGTCCTTAGGAGGTCCCCTGGAGAAGTGCTTTCATTCCTTCACTCCCACTGTTTCTCAGGCTAGGTCTCTTCTGTGTTGGGCAGACATCCTGGGTCTCTTCTCATGGAGGCCAGTTTTAGTCTCAGGACTGGAAATAAACTAAAAAAGAGGTACCAGATTTAAGTGAGCTCGTTTATGTGAAAAGGGAAGAACTGAGGAGAAAGGAATTCATCTCAAATTTTCCCTCTAGACAGTTTCATAATCCAGATTGTAGAAGTCATTACAGTTCAATTACCAAAAAAAAAAAATTATTCCTAGCCTGCTGTATGCCAGGCCCCTTGCCAGATGCTAAAGATAAAAAATGAGCAAGACTGGCTGCTCCTGGGCAGCTTGGACAAATAGATGATACAGATGAGGAAATAATGTAGTAAGTGCTACGATGAGCTATCTGTACTGAGCTGAGAACACAGGTATGGGCTCAATAAAGGTTGCTCCCTTAGCTGGGTGGAGGAAGCAGAGAGAACCATAAAGTGTAAAAAAGAAAATGCCACACCTGGAACATAATGTATACTCAGTAAATTGGCAATTTAATGAAGAAGGGTAAAAAGAATGCTTAAAGTTTAACGATTGGGAAAGGGGAGCAAGCCATGCTTAAGCATGCAATTGCAGGAAATAGAATAGCTTAGGTTGCTAGAAAGAAAGCTGAAAGGATAAGCGTGGTCATAAATAGCAAGGGCTTTGTATGCCAGGTCAAGGACCTCCTGTCATAGCACAGTGGTTCTTTGAATCTCAGGGCCCAGTTTTACCAACAAACACAAACACACATAAGTCATTGCACTTTATATTGTGTCAGTCTGCAAATGGTTCTTGATACAGATATGGATTATTGCATCTCTTGCACTCATCTGGATGCTTACAGTGACCACAGCTACCCTCCCCTTCCCAAGCTGTGAGTAGGCTGGGAACAACTCCCATAGGCTGCAGCAAAGCGTCACATTTGTAGGGTTCAGTCCATTTTTTTGTTTTGTTTACTCTCGATTTCATTATAGGGTAATCGGGGTGAAGGACTGAGAGTGGAAGCTGATCAGCTGGAGCATCTTTCTGGTCATTCAGAGGCCTGCTGGGGAAACCTTTGACCTTTGAGTTGGCAGGTGACCCTTCTTGCTCCTACCAGACTTCTACAACACCAGACCTCAGACTGGTGCCAGTTAACGGCAAAATTAGAAAAGTAATGACAAATATGTAGCAAGATTTTCATATACTAAGTTGATTAAATGGAAGTTCTTTTGATTGTTCATCTTTTTTTTTCTTTTGGTGTCATAATGTCTTTTTTAGTACAATATTTAATAGTAGTAGTAAGCAGCTATATTTAAAAGTTCTTTCATGACACAATTAAAAATTGGCAACTCAAATATTGTTTATTTATTTTTAATTAATTTTTTTTTTTGAGATGAAGTCTCGCTGTGTCACCTAGGCTGTAGTGCAGTGGTGCGATCTTGGCTCACTGCAACCTCCGCCTCCCAGGTTCAAGCAATTCTCTTGCCTCAGCCTCCCGAGTAGCTGGGATTACAGGTGCCTGCCACCACGCATGGCTAATTTTTGTATTTTTAGTAGATACGGGGTTTCACCATCTTGGCCAGGCTGATCGTGAATGCCTGACCTCATGATCCATCTGCCTCGGCCTCCCAAAGTGCTGGGATTACAGGCGTGAGCCACCACGCCCGGCCTTTAAATATTTTTTTTTTCGATACAGGATCTTGCTTTGTCACCCAGGCTGGAGTGCAGTGGTGCAATCATAGCTCACTGCAGCCTCAAACTCCTGGGCTCAAGCCATCCTCCTGCCTCAGCCTCCCAAGTAGCTGGGAGTAGCTGGGAATACAGGCACACACCACCACACTCGGCTAATTTTTTTTTTTTTTTTTGAGAGGAGGTCTTGCAGTGTTGCCCAGGTTGGTCTCGAATACCTGGCCTCAAGTGATCTTCCCACCTTGGCCTCTCAAAGTATTGGAATTACAACCATGAACTAGTTCACCTGACCCAATTAAAAAAAAAAAGATTTTAGCAGTTCATAAAATCCAAAAGCCAACTGTACCATATACTATACCACCTCCCTCAGATGAGTACCTTGAAACAAGAAGTTTACAGAATGGATTGGATCTGTGGCTAAATGCACAAAAACTTATAGAAAAGGTAATGTAAAAATTGTTAGAACATAGCTCTCTAAAGATAGGCTTTTGCAAAGACATTACAAGAAAAGAATGCTATTGACCGATATCTCTTATGATTAAAGATGAGAAAATCCTTAACAAAATACTAGCAAGCCAAATCCAGCAACTTATAAAAAGTACAATGTACTTAAAGTATAATGTACTTTAAAGTATAATGTTCCTAAATAAATGGAAAGACATCCATGTTCATTGATCTGAATACTTAATATTAAGGTGGCAGTACTTTTCAAACTGATCTACAAATGTAACACATCCCTATCAAAATCCCAAGTGGTTTTCTTGTAGAAATTGACACACAGATCCTAAAATTCATAGGGAAATACAAGAAAACAAGAATAGCTAAACAATCTTGGCAAACAACAGAGTTTATAACCCACACCTTGGGAGGCTGAGGTCGAGTCTGTAGTGAGCTATGCTTGCACCACTGCATTCCATCCTGGGCAATAGAGCGAGACCCTGTCTTAAAAAAACGTCAAGAGCAACAACAAAAAAAACACTTTCTGATGTCAAACTTAAAACAAACTTAAAAGTAATCAAGAAAGTGTGGCACTGGCGTAAGGACAAACACATAGATCAATGCATTAGAATGGAGAGCCCAGACACAAGGCCTCATGCTTACAGCCCACTGATTTTCAACAAGAGTGACAAGACATTTCAGTGGAGGGAATGGTGCTGGGACAACTAGATATCTACATGGAGAAGAATGAAGCTGAACCCACTACCACACACCATTTAAAACACTAATCCAAAATGAGGAAAAGACCTCAATGTAAGAGCTAAAACTATAAAACTCTTAGAAGACATGGGTGTAAATTTTCATGTACTTGGATTACCTAGTGGTTTCTTAGGTATGTTATCAAAAGCACAAGCAACAAAAGAAAAAAGCACAGGCAACAAAAGAAAAAACAGATCAATTGGACTTCATCAAAAGTAAACTTCTGTGCTTCAAAAGACAGTATCGAAAAGTGAAAAGACAACCGACAGAATGGGAGAAAATATTTTCAAATCATAATCAGATAAGGAGCTTGTATCTAGAATATATGAAGAACTCTTACAGCTCAGTAATAGAAAGACAACCCTATTAAAAATGGGCAAAGGACTTTGCCTTAGTCTGTTTTGTGCTGCTATAAGGAGATACCACAGACTGGTACTTTATAAAGAAAAGAGACACATTTCTTGCAATTCTGGAGGCTAGGAAGTTCAAGATTGAGGGGACCACATCTGGTCAGGCCCTTCGTGCTGCTTCATAACATGGCAGAAGGCAGAACAGCACACGTGTCGGGGAAGGGGTGGCAAACTCATTCTTTTATCAGAAACCTACCCCCAGGATAGCAGCATTAATCCATTCATGAACAGAGCCCTCCTGATAGCCTAGTCATCATCCCTTAAAGGACCCACCTCTCAACACTGTTGCTTTGGGGATTAAGTTTTCAACACATAAACTTTGGGAAACACGTTCAAACCATAGCTGACTTGAATACACATTTCTCCAAAGAAGATATCCAAATGGCCAACAAGCCCATAAAAAATGCTCAGCATCATTAGTCATCAGGGAAATGCTGATTAAAACCACAGTGAGATACCACTTTACGCCCAATAGGATGACTATAATTTTTTAAAAACCCAGATAATAGCAAGGGTTGGTGAGGATGTGGAGAAATTGAGACCCTCGTGCGCTGCTAGAAGGAGTGTAAAATGGTATAGCTGCTTTGGAAAACAGTCTGGCAGTTGCTAAAACAAACATGGAGTTATCATATGATCCAGCAATTCTACTCCTAAGTATATTCTGAAGATCATTGAAAACAACGTCCATGTAATTCGTAATCGCTAAGAAGTAGAAACAGCTCAAGCATCCTTCAACTAGTAAATGGATACACAAAATTTACTGTAGCTATACAATGGAGGAGTATTCAGCAATACAAAGAAATAAAAGTACTGACGTGCTACAACACGGATGACCCTTGAAAACATGCTAAGTGAAAGAAGCCAGTCACAAAAGACTATATATATTATATGATTCCATTTCTATGAAATCTTCAGAGTAGGTAAACAAAAGAGACAGCAAATAGACCAGTGCTTGTCCTGGGTATGGTTGGGGGCAGTTGAGAAGGGCTGGGGGAATTGGAAGGTGACAGCTAAGGGGTACAATTTGTCTTGACAGTGATGAAAGTATTCTAAATTTGATTGTGGGATGGTAGCACAACTCTATGCCAAAACCTATTGAACTGTATGCTTGAAATTGGGTGAATTGTATATCTCAACGAAGCTGTTATAAAGTACCACGAAGGCTTTGGGGTATGCCTTATTTTCTCTGGGTGCTGAGTTGCTTTTGTTTTGCATGAAGTCTGTTTTGAGCTTACTGTCCTTTCCACCCTAGAGCTAAGCTTGTCTGCTGGATCCCTGCAGCTGGAGCGCAAAAGGAGAGATTTCACCTCTTCTGGGAGCAGGAAACTCTACTTCGACACTCATGCCTTAGTGTGCTTACTGGAAGACAATGGTAATCCTCTGTCATTCGTCATTTAGTGCCTTAGAAAAACACTTTAAATTATGACTTCTCTTATGGTTTCATTTAATTTCTCATGTTCCTCTTTGACTTCTATTTTTTATTTGTGTTTAATTAATTAATTTATTTAGAGACAGGCTCTGGCTCTGTCACCCAGGCTGGATTGCAGTGGCGCAGTCTTGGTTCACTGTAACCTGCCTCCCAGGCTCAAGCCATCCTCCCACCTCAGCCTCCCGAGTAGCTGGGACTACAGGCACACACCACCATGTCTGGCTGATTTTTGTATCTCTTTGACTTTTAGGCCTATGGGCAATCTTTTAATTAATCTCCATTTTTTTAAGTCCTCATTTTTTGCTGGAGGACATTTTTGCTTCATCAATAGAATGGAGACTTTTCTCACACATTGTCTCTTTGTCCAAGTGAAGTGTATTTCTGTAACATCACCATGGAAGTACAGTGTTATAGGTAAAAATTTAGACACAAGTCAGCAAAGCTGAGGAATGATTCCTATGACAACAGTGTCTGAAGCACAGAAGTGATAGTTTTATTACTGTGCATCTTGTGTGCTTTTTAAAATCCTGTGAAATTGAAATGTTGCTGAGTAGCAGTTCTTGATAATTTCAACTTACTGTTCTTTTTTCTTTTTTCTTTTTCTTTCTTTTTTTTTGAGATGGAGTCTCGCCCTGTCACCCAGGCTGGAGTGCAATGGCGCGATCTCGGCTCACTGCAACCTCCACCTCGGGTTCAAGCGATTCTCCTGCCTCAGCCTCCTGAGTAGCTGAGATTATAGGCACGAGCCTCCACGCCCAGCTAATTTTTGTGTTTTTCATAGAGATGGGGTTTCACCATGTTGGCCAGGCTGGTCTCGAACTCCTGACCTTGTGATCTGCCCGCCTCAGCCTCCTAAAGTGCTGGGATTACAGGAGTGAGCCACCGCGCCCAGCCCTCTTTTTTCTTTTTAATACTCAGGCTAACATTCTTCGTTATTGCTGTTAAGATAAAAGATTGTTCTGGTATATATGGCATTCATTGAAAATGCACTTTAGACTTAGAATGTAGGGAACATTCTCATACTAAATCATATTTAGACAAATACACCGATTATAATTCTCTATATGGTGACACATTCTCAAAAATCAGAATTTCAAAATAGTGTAAATTATGCTTGTGAAATAAATTTGCCTGTGCTTTTACTTCATTGTGTAGTTATTTGTCCAGTTGTACATGTTTGTGTCAGAAAAGCTACTCTCTGTAGAGGTACTTTACATGCCTAAGACAAAGTGACGGAATGAATTATTCTGTGCTTTGTGGGAGACAGCAGCTCTGGGCTCGAGCCTAACCCTGCAGACTTCTAGTTGCCTAGCTTAGGAAGCTTTTTTCCCCTTCTCAGTTTCCATTTATTTGCCCATCTATAGTATGAGTGTAATACGAATTCCAAAGACCTTTTTGAATATTAAACAAGATAATACGCATGAATGAACTTTGGAAAAACTGTCATATGCTGTGTAATAATTTTCACAACTTTTCCTGTCAAACAGTAGGCTTTTTTCGCCAAAACTTCTTTCAGTACAGAATTTAAAAGAGAAAAGTAGAAGCGAGAAGGGAGCATGTAAAGTTATGCTGATAAGGCCAGGCGAGGTGGCTCATGCCTGTAATCCCAGCACTTCAGGAGGCTGAGGTGGGAGGATGGCTTGAACCCAGGAGTTCAAGACCAGTCTGTGCAACATAGTGAGAGCCTGACTCTACCAAAAAAAAAAAAAAATTGATAAGCAGAAGTCTTCCTAGTTTTCTTGATTTTAAACCTTAACCCATGGTTATTTGCATCTTTCAAGACTGTGGTGTGAGGGCCACACTGCAGTACGTGGTATGGAGGGGCTGTTCAATCCAACATGGATGAGTTGGGGGTGTCTGAGATGACTGGCTGAGTAGGAGGCCAGGAAGGACTTTTCAAGGCATATTCTACCCTTTCTTTATCCAGACCTGTGTCTTCAGGTTAACAAAATTTCTCATATGCCTGTCATCTCACCCTGGTTCTGTCCTATTCCCTCGTGTCTACAAAAAATTAATTTCTGCCTCATAACTCAGTAGGTTTTCAGACTTCCACTTTTTTTTTTTTTTTTTTTTTTTTGGAGACAGAGTCTGGCTCTGTCTTCCAGGCTGGAGTACAGTGGCACAATCTCGGCTCACTGCAAGCTCCACCTCCCGGGTTCATGCCATTCTCCTGCCTCAGGCTTCCGAGTACCTAAGACTACAAGTAGCTGGGACTACAGGCGCCTGCCACAACGCCTGGCTAATTTTTTGTATTTTTAGTAGAGACGGGGTTTCACTGTGTTAGCCAGGATGGTCTCGATCTCCTGACCTCGTGATCCGCCCGCCTCGGCCTCCCAAAGTGCTGGGATTACAGGCGTGAGCCACCGCGCCCGGCCAAGACTTCTACTTTTTCATATCCCTTTCTCCTCCCACAAGTGGTTATAAAGTATATGGCTTTAGAGTTTGTTTTACAATCAACATAAGTTCTCTTTCTACCTTTATTTTTCTTTTCCTCATCATTGCCAAACCTAATTTTTTTCTTTTTTTTTTTTTTTTTTTTTTTTTTGAGACAGAATCTCACTCTTTCATCCAGGCTGGAGTGCAGTGGCACAGTCTTGGCCTACTGCAACCCCCACCTCCCGGTTTCAAGCGATCCTCCCACCTCATCCTCCTGAGTAGCTGGGATTACAGGCATGCACCACCACACCTGGATAATTTTTCTGTATTTTTACTAGAGACGGGGTTTCACCATGTTGGCCAGGCTGGTCTCAAACTGCTGACCTCAAGTGATCCACCCACCTTGGCCTCCTAAAGTGCTGGGATTACAGGCGTGAACCACTGTGTCCAGTTGCCAAACCTAATTATGTTTAAACATGAACTCTTTTTTTAATTAAAATTTTTTAAAATTTTATTTACATTAAAATGGAGATGGGATCACTATGTTGCCCATGCTGGTTCTGAACTCCTGGGCTCAAAGATCCTCCCGCCTTGGTCTCCCAGAGTGTTAGGATTACAGGCGTGAGCCACCACACCCAGCCAGTGAACTCTTCTTAATAAAACTTTAAAATTTGGCAAAAGTTTAGTTTGAGTTTTTAAAAACTAGGAAGACAGACGAGAAAAAAGAAAACAGAGTCAGAGCTAAACAATGTTAACATTTTGGTGAGTAACCTTTTGTATTTTTTTTCTAGACATGTGTATAACATGTTGAAAAATTAAAGAATTTTGACGAAAGTGATGGGAATAGGTCTTTGGAGGTTTTTTTCCTTCTCCTTTAAATCTGTGTCTTTGGTTTTTTTGTTCATTATAGTCCCATGCTTCATCTCAGCCACACAAATTCCATTAATTAAGTACTACTTTATTCCAAGAAATACACAATTAATTACAGGAATCAATAGATTCTTCTGAAATTCTTATAGCTGGAAGCATTTAATAGAACTATTTCCCAGGCACTCAGTTTTAAGCATTTAATTAGAATTTATGTTAAATAGGAGTTACTATCCAATGTTTTTAAAAACAATACCAAGTACTGGCCAGGCGTGGTGGCTTGCGCCTGTAATCCCAGCACGTTGGGAGGCCAAGGCGGGCAGATCACCTGAGGTCGGGAGTTCGAGAACAGCCTGACCAACACGGAGAAACTTCATCTCTACTGAAAATACAAAATTAGCTGGGCATGGTGGCGCATGCCTGTAATTCCAGCTACTCCGGAGTCTGAGGCAGGAGAATGGCTTGAACCCGGGAGGTGGAGGTTGCTGTGAGCTGAGATCGCGCCATTGCACTCCAGCCTGGGCAACAAGAGCGAAACTCTGTCTCAAAAAAAAAAAAATACCAAGTACTGCATTGAATCTCTATCATTCAATTCAGTATCATTTATTGACTACCAAAGAACATATTTTTTCTACTTTGGGTCCCCCAGACTAGTTACTGAAGAGAATTGTGGAGGAAAAATGAAAGAACTGATTTTGTCTTTTAACATGAAGTTAGCCAACAGCTAGATTACTATTTATATAGTCAATGATTTGACTGCCTTATGCTGGACATAAAACAACTGAGCTTTCCTATTTAAGGAAATTATTTTTTAATAATGTACACATTATAAAATTAAAGAAATATTGTCCACCGTAGAAAATCTACATAATGCAGAGAAACATAAAGAAGAAAATAAAAATGACTATGAATTTTTGTTAAATTATAAAAACAAGAATTGCATCTGTAATTTTGAGTCTTGCCTTTTTTCACTTGATGTTGACTTGCCGGCATTGTCTATGTCATTAAATAGTCTCTGAAAACATGACTTTTGATAGCTAGGAACGACTTACAGATCAGTCAGCAAAGCCACCGGTACCTGGGGAAGCCAACTTGTATGTTTCGTGCTTGCTCTGAGTGACCGGCACGTCATAGTTTGTGGCTGTACCCTCCTCCCTGCCTCCTACCACACTGTGCTGTACTCTTCCTCCTGGATTTGGACATTCACATGAATGTGTGCATTTGCTGTGGGCTTTTGTAACTCTGAGCATGATTTTTTTTGCTTGTGTGCTTGCTTAGGGTTTGCTACTCAACAAGCAGAAATCATTGTGTCTGCATTGGTCAAGATCCTGGAGGCCAACATGGACATCGTCTACAAAGATATGGTCACCAAGATGCAGCAGGTTAGCCTTGTTGGGTGGTTTAGCAAATTAGGACTGTGAAGATGGGGTATTATTTGTAGTAATGTTTTAATATAATTTTTTGGATAATACCCCGTTGAAAAGTATATAGTAACTTTTACCATGATTAAGAGGCAAAAGATTACAGTGGCATAAAAAATACTTACTCAGAACTATTTAGTCAACAGTTGTAGAATCGTTATGCTTGAAAGCTCACTGTTCAAAATTATTCCAGTGAAATATACTTTAATAAATGGAGACGTGGCCTGAATTGTAGTATTATAGCATCATGTTCTCGAGTCTTCACATCACCACCCTTTTAGCTGTGATTCACTTGGTAACAATAACCAGATATGTGGTTTTTGTTTTTTTGTGTTTTGGGGGGGTCTTTTTGAGACAGGGTATCACTCATTTGCCCAGGCTGGAGTGCAGTGGTGCAGTCTCAGCTCACTGCAGCCTCGTTGACCTCCTGGGTTCAAGTGATCCTCCCACATCAGCCTCCCAAGTAGCTGGGACTACAGCCGTGCACTGCTACAGCTGGCTAATTTTTGTACTTTTGGTAGAGATGGGGTTTCACCATGTTGCTTAAGCTGGTCTCGAACTCCTTGGCTCAAGTGATCCACCTGCCTTGGCCTCCCCAGGTATTGGGATTACAGGTGTGAGCCACCTTGCCTGGCCAGATATGTGTTGTTTTTTTCTTTTCCTTTTCCCCTTTTGGAATAAAGGATGACCCTACTGAACCTCTTTTTGTGTCCACATTGTCCTGGTTTCTCAATAAGAAGATAGCACATTGAGATGATAGGAAGTGGACTTTTTAGGGTAGACTAGATTATGTGTTTTGTTTTTCTTTTCCTAGGAAATCACTTTTCAGCAAGTAATGTCTCAGATTGCGAATGTGAAAAAGGATATGATTATTTTGGAGAAGAGTGAATTTTCAGCCCTCAGAGCAGAAAATGAGGTAAAACAGAGCCTCTCACACTTAGAAAGTTGATTATATTAAGACATTGAGATAAATTATATACACATAAAAGAGCACACGTTAAGTGTACATCTCAGTGAATTTTCAAACAGTGTGCACTTCCAGTCAGATCGAGCAGGAAAACTTGCCCACTGTCCCAGAAGTCTCTCTCATGCCTCTCAGTTGCTCCTGCCCCAGAGGAAACGCTGTCCTGGCTGATAACACCATTAACTAGTTTCGCCTATTCTAGAACCATTTGATGGTATCATACTGTGTGTCTTGTAGCAAGAGATCATTTTTTTCATTGTCTATAGTCTTAACATCAATAGGCCCCATCATTTTATTGTAATGTGTATTAGAATTGTTTCCAGTTTTTGGTTATTTTGAATAATTGCTACTGCGAAATATCTCTTGTGTTTCTTTAAACAGAGCATATGGGATCAGCATTTAAATAAGTGCTGTCTATGCATTTTCCTTTTATTTTCGGTCCTATTTAAAGTCCCATAATAGGGAAGGCCATTTATTGCCTGTTGACCCTAGCCTTGTAAGAAACCTTCTAGCAAAAAGTAAAGTGGTAAAGTTTCAGACTCTCTAGGTTGTTCTTGAAATCAGTTATTTGAGGGTAGGATTAGTTAAAAGATAAACCGAAGGAGATACTAAATAAAGCAGGGTCACTGAAGGCAAATGTGTATGCCAAACACAACTGAGTTAACTTTACATAGCCTTCAAGATGAATTCAAACTGATTTCAAGATACGTGTGTTGTAATGCCATTCTGCAATCAATACGGTGTTCTGAATGAAGGAAAAACCTGAGGAACTTGTGCATAAATATGTATTGTAATATTTGTTGGTTACTACGTTTTATGTTGTTCTTTCTAATGACTTTTTTTTTATGTGTTTTTAGAAAATAAAACTCGAACTACATCAGTTAAAACAACAAGTAATGGTAAGATTCACTTTCCTGTTTGTTGGCTGGTTTGTAATTATATAAACTTATTAATAAGTATAATATTAGAAATGGATGTTTTTAAAAACTTAATTCTTTGTGAAATGTTTGTGTAATATGCCTCAAAAGTACACATTGGAAGATTTAGCTAAGAACACAGCCAATGAATGAATTACTGTTGTCTGTAACCATATTCATTAAGAAAATTGTGGCCAGGCATGGTGGCTCATGCCTGTAATCCCAGCACTTTGGGAGGCCGAGGTGGGTGGATCACCTGAGGTCAGGAGTTCAGACCAGCTTGGCCAACATAGTGAAACCCTGTCTCTACTAAAAATACAAAAATTAAGTGGGCATGGTGGCAGGTGCCTGTAATCCCAGCTACTTGGGAGACTGAGGCAGGAGAATCACTTGAACCCAGGAAGCAGAGGTTGCAGTGAGCCGAGATTGCGCCATTGCACTCCAGCCGTGGTAACAAGAACGAAACTGTCTCAAAAAAAAAAAAAAAAAAAAAAAGAAAATTGTGTTCTAGGAGGAATTAAGTCATTTTTAAGTAAAAGTTTTTCTAAAGTGCTGCACGGAAGGAACCCTTAAATTCTCTTAGACTGTCTTTAGAGAATCACACGTGATTTTTAAATGCTTACTGTGCCAGCTATTTAATGTTTTTTAAATAGAAAAAACATAGATGTTAAAGAAAAAAAGGCTTTGATATGTATCAGAGAAAAGGCTCTATGTAAACTGGATTTTAATATTTTGCTGCTTTGAGTCCATCTTTGCTTTCCAAAGTTGTTTAAGATCAGCTTTATTCATAAGTTCCATTCGGAGATTGTATGAGGAGTCTTGAGGTTAAAAGCAGCAACAGGCCGGGCGCGATGGCTCACGCCAGTACTCCCAGCACTTTGGGAGGCTGAGGTGGGTAGATCACAAGGTCAGGAGTTCAACACCAGCCTGACCAACATGGTGAAACCCCATCTCTACTAAACATACAAAAATTAGCCAGACGTGGTGGCATGCACCTATAATCCCAGCTACTCAGGAGGCTGGTACAGGAGAATTGCTTGAACGCAGGAGGCAGAAGTTGCGTGAGCAGAGATCACCCCATTGCACTCCAGCCTGGTTGACAGAGTGAGACTCCATCTCAAAAAAAAAAAAAAAATGGCAGCAACAACCCACTCTAGACTGGCATAAGCATAGAAGGGGGTTATTTGTGTCTAACTGGGAAGTCCTGGGACAGGCTGCCTCCAGATGTGGCTTGGCCAGAGTTCCCTGATGCCAGGAGGCCTAGGTCCATTTCTCTGGAAGCCCCTGGCTCTCTCCCTCCCTGGGTTGCCTCGCCTAGGATAGGGACAGTGGGGGCAGTGGTCCCAGTGTCACGTCCTCATAGAGTTTGGGTTTCTTACTTTGGATTTTTCCTTCTTTGTTGTTTGCCCTCCTTTTAGGATGAAGTGATCAAAGTCCGAACAGATACCAAATTAGACTTCAACCTAGAAAAGAGCAGAGTAAAAGAATTGGTACGTTCCTTTACTAAAAACACATTATGAATTAATTTATTTTTGGAATGGAATGCTTGGTTAAGCCTAAGTTTATGTACATGTCATAGGTACTGTTAAATATTTATCTGTTTATCAGTGTTAGGCTGTATTTTCTCTATTATAATAATTTTGGATTAAGACTTAAATTTGTTGCTTTCAAAAGTAACATTAAAATTAAACTCCTAGTCAAATTAGTCAGTTTGAATATTTGTTTCAGAAATATTAGAGATATGTTACATAGAGATTCATAAAGAAATTAAATGCAATCTTGATCTATTTAATACTGACTTAAATCTTCATAGGTCTTGATCTTGTAAAAGTTAAGTTGATTATTTCAGGCTTGAATAATAGTAAATTATTAACATTAAATAATATTAAATTATATACTGGAATTCAAGATTAAAACATTTCTGGCCGGGCGCGGTAGCTCACGCCTGTAATCCCACTACTTTGGGAGGCCAAGATGGGCAGATCACCTAAGGTCAGGAGTTCGAGGCAGCGTGCCTGCCCAACATGGTGAAACCCTGTCTGTACTAAAAATACAAAAAATAAGCCGGGCATGGTGGCGGGCACCTGTAATCCCAGCTACTCGGGAGGCTGAGGCAGGAGAATCGCTTGAACCCAGGAGGCAGAGGTTGCAGTGAGCTGAGATTGTGCCACTGCTCTCTAGCCTGGGTGACAAGAGCAAAACTCCATCTCAAAAAAAAAAAGAAAATTTCTATGTTGTCTTTTAAGTGCAGTGAGAAGTTGTGAGGGTATTTTGTTTTGTTTTCTATTTTTGTTTTTTTTGAGACAGAGTCTCAGTGTGTTGCCGAGGCCGGAGTGCAGTGGCACCGTGTCTGCCCACTGCAACCTCCGTCTCCTGGGTTTAAGCAATTCTCCTGCCTCAGCCTCCCGAGTAGCTGGGATTACAGACGCCACCACCACACCTGGCTAGTTTTTATATTTTTAGTAGAGACAGGGTTTCACCATGTTGGCCAGGCTGGTCTCAAACTCCTAACCTCAAGTGATCTGCCCACCTTGTCCTCCTAAAGTGCTGGGATCACTGGAGTGAGCCACTGCGCCTGGCCGGCAAGTGTGTTTTTTTTTTCTTTGTTTTTGTTTGAGGCGGAGTCTCGCTCTGTCACCCAGGCTGGAGTGCAGTGGTGTGATCTCAGCTCACTGCAAGCTTCGCCTCCCGGGTTCACGTCATTCTCCTGCCTCAGCCTCCAGAGTAGCTGGGACTACAGGCCCCTGCCACCACGCCCAGCTAATTTTTTGTATTTTTAGTAGAGACGGGGTTTCACCGTGTTAGCCAGGATGGTGTCGATCTCCTGACCTCGTGATCCGCCCACCTCGGCCTTCCAAAGTGCTGGGATTACTGGAGTGAGCCACCGCGCCCGGCCTAAGTGTGTTTTAATAAAGATATGTGTCGGGTTGCCTCTAGTGATTTTTAACCCTGTCTGAATATTCAGCCGTCTTCTTGCTCAGACTTTATTTGAATTTGGTAACATCAGGTGCCTTTTTTATTCTTAGCATAATGAGAAATAGGGCAGAGAGAGCATCTTGCACTAACACAAAACTGAATACACATGCAGAAACTGAGTACTCACAACTGTTTGTTGTTTTCTCATTTTTGACAATTTGCTTTTAGATAAAATGTGCTATAATGATAAGTGAAGCTAATACTGAAACTCAAAAAAGTAACCTACTTGTGTTTTGGAACTGCCACTGGATTTCAAGAGTTAATCCAAGCTTCGTTATACAAAATAATTATTAAGGCTGTGTTACCTGTCTTTCTAGTCTTACAACAACAGTCTCCACCCATAAAGATTAAATCACCTAGTGTTACTAAATAGTTACTGACTATAGCATGTCACTGGTGTCTGGAAGAGGAGAAACTCTTTTGGTTACCTTTATCTTTATGGGTTGTATACTCAGGAAGAACTGAATTCACTTGATATAGGAAAATGACTGTGTGTAGCTAACCAACCTGGGAAAAACTACATCAAGGACATCAGGAAATACAGGGCATGAATGTAGATTAAAGCCAGTGAATTTTTTTAAAATTTTATATGGAGTCATTTTAATAACATAACTAGGCTGATATATATGTACATTTTTCAATCATGTAACATTTAGATTTTACTCATTTTAAGTCATTAACATCATCCAGCAAACAAAAATTTTCCAGAAATTTTTTTCACAATTACAGTTTTAGTCTTTAAACCAAAATGAAAAAATTTCTGCCGGGCATGGTGGCTCACACCTGTAATCCCAGCACTTTGGGAGGTCAAGGTGGGTGGATCACCTGAGGTCAGGAGTTCGAGGCCAGCCTGGCCAACGTGGTGAAACCCTGTCTCTACCAAAAATACAAAAATTAGCCCAGCGTGATGGCCCACCTGTAGTCTCAGCTACTCGGGAGACTGAGGCAGAAGAATCATTTGAACCCAGGAGGCAGAGATTGCAGTGAGCCGAGATCACGCCACTGCACTCCAGCCTGGGTGACAGAGTGAGACCCTGTCTCAAAAAAAAAAAAAAGAAAAGAAAAAAAATGATGAAATTTCATTCTTGCAAATACTCATATTTTTAAATTATTGGATATATAGAGTGGATTCATTCAGTGTTCTTATAAGAAAAGTAAAGCTTATAATATTTTGCAGACTTGATAATGCAGCACTCAAAATACTTACCCTGATTTTATTTTACTTGAATTTACTAGTTAAATATGCTGATAAATATGATTTACATGTAATTACTTTATCTGGAATGACTATATTGACCTTAATCTCCAGAAAGCAACCAATGCACAGAGTTTCAATTAAATCCTGTCCATCATGATAGTAACTTTTTCTACATGACACAAAAGTGTCTGTGGTATATTTGAACAGTAACTGTGACTATGAATTGTTCTTATAGTCTTTTTTTAGTGTTTCATTATTTTAATTTCAGTGGGTTTTGGGGGAACAGGTGGTGTTTGGTTACATGAAGACGTTATTTAGAGGTGATTTCTGAGATTTTTGGTGCCCCCATCACCCTAGCAGCGTACACTGTACCCAATGTGTAGTCTTGCCCCTCACCCACCTCCTACCCTTTCCCCCAAGTCCTCAAAGTCCACTGTATCATCCTTTTGCCTTTGCATCATAGCTTAGCTCCCATCAAGCCAGTGAATTTATGTCATTTAGTAACCTAGCGGGGAGGTTGTTCTTGGTAATCATAAACTTGGATTACTCTGAAGCACAAGGCAGTAGTAAATTATACAGCGAGTGTGTTTGTAACATGCATTGGTGAAGATGAGTTTTCTGGCTCTCGTTCTTTCGGTAAAGTTATAATGTTAAATATTAAATTGCAAATTAACTATGATATTTACAGCCAGTTCCAAAAGCAGTATGGCATATAAACTTCTGGGGCATGGGGATATAGAGCTACATAGATGTTATTTTTAAAACCATGACAGCGTCAATATTTAGGCTCTTCTTTTGTGGGTGAGTCAATGTTGAGTTAATGAAGACTGAGGTTTAGTGGTGCACAAAATCTTGTTCCACGCCGCCCTCTAGTGGTGATCTGATGCATCGGGCTCTCCTGGTCTGAAACCCTGAGGTTTAAAGAGCATTGTTCTTGGTTTTACAACCTACTCCTTGGCTTAGGGTTTTGGGGTTTTTTGTTTTTGTTTTTGTTTCTCTTTCTCTTTTTTTTCTTTTTTTTTTTTCTACTTCTAAGCTCCCAGTAGTCCCAGGAGAATATTTTATAGCTAGGAAGTTTCTATATACTTCAAAGGATTAACTTTTTCTTTCTATAACAAGGTTAATGTAGTTCTTAAAAGTCGTCATTCAAATTACTGATTGTCATATGCTCAATTAAATCTTGTTGCCCACTACTAAGGAGATAAGTCTGATTTCAATCTTACTGTCTACAAAACTGCACTAAATCTTTTCACTGACATTAATAGCCAAAAGGCGAGATACTTTAACTCTGGGTAGAATTAGTTCCTTTAGTAACGCTGGATTATGGCTACGCCCAAGTGGGTTTTTTTATTGTTATTAAAACCAACATGTGCAGGAGGCTAAGGCAGGAGAATTGCTTGAACCTGGGAGGCAG
This sequence comes from Homo sapiens, assembly GCF_000001405.40. Classification (NCBI taxonomy): domain Eukaryota; kingdom Metazoa; phylum Chordata; class Mammalia; order Primates; family Hominidae; genus Homo; species Homo sapiens. Next base: position 13,794,734 of record NC_000006.12, on the reverse strand, counting down.
AGGTTGCAGGGACCCCAGATCAAGCCACTGCACTCCAGCCTGGGAATAGAGTGAGACTCCATCTCAAAACAAAAAACCAAGCCAAAAAAAAAAAAACCCAACATGTGATGAGTTAGTGTATTTATGTATTTACATTGTATTTTATAATCACAACACAATGTCTTTGTCATAGAATAATAATCCTTGGCAGCTATTTGTTCCCCAACTTCATACCTTTTCTGTCTTTTGTTGAGACTCAAGTAGTGACGTGTTTTGCTACTAGTTATGATGGGATAGCTCCTAAATTGAGTTGAGTCTCCATTTTCAACCCTCTCAAAACCAAAAACCATATGACTCAGCATCCTTCGAAATTGGTCCCCAGGGAGTGCTACTACAATAGTGGGAGGGACCTAAAGACATCACAGGAAATATGCAGGGAGAAGTGACAGATGACTAAGGAAATCCAGATATTAGAGGAATGAGTAAGTATAAATAAGAAACTTTAGCCAGCACGGCAGGTCATGCTTGTAATCCCAGCACCTTGGGAGGCCGAGGTGGGCAGATTGCTCGAGCTCAGAAGTTTGAGACCAGCCTGGGCAACATGGCAAAGCCCCATCTCTATGGAAAAAAAAAAAAAAGAAACCTCAAGTAACACATATAAAGAAGCAGGTAGGCTACTTAATCCCAGAGGTGACTTTCTGGTGTTACGTATTCTAGGAGGTACTGAGACCAGAATATTTAAGGCACCAGAGAAGGAGAAGAGAGAGGAGTAGATCAGAATCTGACCCATGTTACGTGTTTATTTCAGTATTCATTGAACGAAAAGAAGCTGCTGGAATTGAGAACAGAAATAGTGGCATTGGTAAGAAACAAGACTGTGATTTTTCTTTGTCTTTGTACTCATCTTTGCTTCGTTCCATGCATGGTTGTTTGTAATGATAATAGGAAGTTACATGCAGGTTTACTGTCATGGGAATTTTTTACATTGTGCTAAAATACACACAACATAAAAATTAGGATCTTAACCATTTTTTAAGTGTACAGTTCAGTACATTTAAAGTACATTCACATTTTGGGGCAACCATCGCCACTGGCTATCACAGAACTCTTTATTTTGCAAAATTGAAACTCTGCACCCTTTATACATTCCCTTTTCCAGCCTCTGGTGACCTCCATTCTACTGTCTATGGATTTGACTATTCTACATACCTCATATAAATAGAATCATAGCATTTGTCTTTTTGTGGCTGGCTTATTTCACTTAACACAGTGTCCTGAAGGTTCATCCATGTTGTTGAAATGACAGGACTTTCTTCCTTTTTAAGGCTGATTAGTATTCCATTATATGTATATGCCACATTTTCTTTATTCGTCTGTCAAGGGCACTTGTGTTGCTTCCACCCGTTGGCCTTTGTGAATAGTGCTGCTGTGGGCATGGGTGCACAGATGTCTGTTGGGATCCCTGCTTTCAGTTCTTTTGGGTATATATGCAGAAGTGGAGTGTCACAGGATTTTTTGCACTTCACAAAGTGTTTGGTTATCGTAATGGAAGATAGTTATCCTATGAAAGATTTAAACTTTCTTAATGAAAGTTTCCTTTTCTTCTTTCTTTTTTTTTTTTTTTTTTTTTGAGGTGGGGTCTCGCTCTGTCACCCAGGCTGGAGTGCAGTGGCTCAATCTCAGCTCACTGCACCCTCCTTCACCTCAGCCTGTAGAGTAGCTGGGACCACAGGCTCACACCACCATGCCCTACTTGAGAGTTTGTTTTTCTTAACGGAAGTTTTATTAAGAAAGTTTAAATCTCAGTAATTGAAGAATAGTGAGGAATGGAGAAGTCTTATTCTATTTTTAATTTATAGCATACATTTCTCCTTTTCCATACTGTATGGAACCTGGGACCTCTGAAACCCCCAAGAGGCTTTCATGAGAGAATTCCAGAATCCTGGGATATTTCTCTGGAATACTTTTTTACGCATCCAGGCATTTATTTCTTTTTTTCTCTGCCTGAATTGGTAGCCATAGGGAAAGATTTAGTTGCTGTAGGAGTTTTAGTGAAGGATTCCCATGGTTTTTATGCTTTAATGCAGTTCTACAACCCCCTATAGCGTCGGCCAAACCCACTGCCTTTTTGAGGGTTGATTATGTGTCCAGTTTAACTGTATTGTATTTGGGGAAGGACACAAATTGGCCGTGGGTAGCCAAGCCTCATAGTAATGAAACACTTGATATTTGAACATGAAAGAAGAAAGTTTTTTAAAAATATGACTAGAAATAGCTCAAGACAAGCACTGCCGCTTTCACATTATCTAAGACTCCATTTCTTGAAAACATTTTTGAGTTTACTGTCTATCTTTGACTAAGGAGGATTTAGAAGGATGAGACGTAGCCGTTGCCTTTGAGAACAGACTGGCCTCATAATACCACATCATTTGTATAGCAACCTAGAGCTTACAAATGCTTTTTCACATAGATTATCGCATTTGATTCTCTAAACAGTCCAGGTAAAGGCAGGGCCACTGGCTTGGTTGTTTCGTTTTGTTCTGTTTTCATTTTTTCAAATAGAAGAAAACTAAGGCCTAGAGAGGTTAAGGGTCCTGACCAATGCAGCGTAGAATTAGGGTTTTAGAACTGAGACTAAAGCCCAGGCCTCCATAGTCTTACCCAGGTTTCCCTGTGACTGCACCCCGTTGGGAAGGAGCTATAGGATGGTGAGCAGAGGGGACGTGCTGTGGTCTAACGCTGTGACTCTCTTCATTTTAAAAGCATGCCCAGCAAGATCGGGCCCTTACCCAGACAGACAGGAAGATCGAAACTGAGGTTGCTGGCCTCAAAACCATGCTTGAGTCACACAAGCTTGATAATATTAAATATTTAGCAGGTAAGCTATTTTGTATCTATTTAAATCAACCTGAAAAGAAAATAAATTTATAAAATAAGTCGTTGACAGATACTGCATTTCATTGATTCCAACACTTTCTGAAATATTTTAACATCTCTGAAATTGGAAAGCATCTTACAATTTCCAGTAGATGAAGTATCATAGTTTAATTGGCACTTTTTCTTTCTTAGTAGTAAATAAAGTAATTGTGTACGTTATAATTGATAGAATTGGAAATTTGATAAGATACTATAATTGAACTATAGTTATTAGGGATTTTAATGAGATTCAAGACAGGAAATATTTTATGGATAAAATGGAAGGTGTTTCAGTTGTAATCTTTCTGCTTCAATTGCTTAAACTCCTTTTAAGGAGTTATTTTACTTTCGCGATTTTTGATCCAAAAGAGAGAATGAACATTCATGTACCACCCCCCACCCAAATTAACCATTATTTCAAGTCAGATTTAACGTCTTGGATTAATTAAATATTTTAAGGTTACAGCATTATTTAACAGTGAAATGTTGTTCTTTATATTAAATTGTGTCTTCCTGTCTCTATAGTGCATATACATAGACCTTGTGACCACAGAATTTTTGCTATTCGAAACTTTTATTGAAAAGTTTTCTTAGCCTAGGCAACACAGCGAGACCTAGTCTCTACAAAAAGATTTAGCCGGGCATGGTGTCATCTGCCTGTAGCTTCAGCTTCTTGGGAGGCTGAGGCAGGAGGGTCACTTGAGCCCGGGAGTTTGAGGCACAGTGAGCTGTAATCATACCATTGCATGGTGCACTCCTCCTGGGTACCAGATGAGACCATGTCTCTAAAATAAGAAAATAAAATAAAGGGTGTGGGATTTGTTTTTTCAGTAGGCAGGCGTTTCACGGAATATGGGACATCAGTGAGCAATCTAAGTTTCTAGGTTTTCTTTTTTAGGTTTTCTTAAAAAAAGATGTTCCCTCAAGTAACTCTTAATAGAACTAATAGTACTCTCAATTGTTTTTTTCTTACAGGGTCTATATTTACGTGCCTAACAGTAGCTCTGGGATTTTATCGCCTGTGGATCTAATAAAGTGTCTATTTAAAGTGATTTCTACTGTTTTGCCTTAAGAATACCAGATTGTTGGCTGGGTGCGGTGGCTCACACCTGTAATTCCAGCACTTTGGGAGGCTGAGGCAGGTGGATTACCTGAGGTCAGGAGTTCGAGACCAGCCTGGCCAACACGGTGAAACCCCGTCTCTACTAAAAAATTAAAACATTAGGCGGGCGTGGTGGCGGGCGCCTGTAGTCCCAGCTACTCGGGAGGCTAAGGTGTGAACCTGGGAGGCGGAGCTTGTAGTGAGCCGAGATCACGTCACTGCACTCCAGCCTGGGCAACAGAGCGAGACTCCGTCTCAAAAAAAAAAAAAAAACCGGAATACCAGATTGTTGTCCTTTTGTTTTCTTGTTACACATTTGAGCCCAGATTTTGACTTAATGTGTATTATTTATTTTTATGAAAATTGTGGACACATAACCAAGATAAAGAAGTCAGGTATTCCATAGCCATTCCTTATCTCCTTTCTGCTTAGTTGACTTTCTAGCTGAGTGGTGCACAGTGCATGGAAGATTCCACTTAGCCGGACCAGGAAGCTTGGTCTCATCTGTGGTGCACACCAACAGCAAACATTGATGTAATTCTCTACAACTTAATCTTTGGCACATAGAGGATTTGGGGGTCTCCATGTTCAGGGCACAATGGCTTTAATAAGTGCTGGAAAATCACTGAAGCTAAACCAAGAGCACCAGATCCTCTTTACCTAAATAACCAGTCTTTAACATGAGCTAGTCCCTGTACCATAGTATTGTTTCAGCTGTAGTTGGTTGTCATGTTAATAAGACAGCTGCACGTCTACCTTCTTTTCTTTTGATTTCCATTGTCTTGGTAAGTTATTGTTAGGGTTATTTTTAATGTGCCTTCCAGCCAGAAAAATCAGCTGTCTAAAGAAGCATTGCAATTGTAATGGGGACTCTTACCTCTTAGAATGCAAGATTTTCCCTCCTCCCTCCCTCTTCTCCATCTCTTTCCCTCATGATTTGAGAACTGTAATAATCCTCCACTGGTGGCATTACCTACCTAGAAAACCTGCTGATTCTTAGCATGGAACTTTGCTTCAGTTTGCAGGACAAAGTCTGCTTCCTTCCGGTCTTCATTTACTTTTTATACAAGGGATGCAGTCAGCTCTCCATGTATAAGATACCTAGATGATGGATACATATTTCATAAATGAAATTTATGTCATTAATGAATATCCCCTTGCCCACAACCAGCTCAGGCTTTCAAAATTCGAGAATGGTCATGCCACACAGCATTCTAATCTAGATGGATTAATTCTGTTGTTCAAAACATTCTCATACCTGCCTTTATATTGAAAACAAATTCTAGATACAACTGGGGTTATTCTGGAAAAGCACATTCTCACCTTTTTTTTTTTTTTGAGACGGAGTCTCGCACTGTCGCAGGGCTGGAGTGCATTGTCGTGATCTCTGCTCACTGCAACCTCTGCCTCCTGGGTTCAAGCGATTCTCCTGCCTCAGTCTCCTGAGTAGCTGGGATTACAGGTGCCCACCACCACGCCCAGCTAATTTTTGTATTTTTAGTAGAGATGAGGTTTCACCATGTTGGCCAGGCTGGTCTCTAACTCCTGACCTCGTGATTCACCCGCCTTGGTCTCCCAAAGTAGTGGGATTACAGGCGTGAGCCGCTGCGCCTGGCCCATTCTCATCTTATTCAAATTACTGGCACATGGGCAAGAGAGACAATGACATGGATAGAAGCTTTTCTGCCTTTCTCTGCACACACATACAGTGAAGGAACCACAGGCAGATTTTTTGATCAGTTTGGTGAATACATTGCTCGTTGTCACTGTTCCAACCACATTGGTAAAAAAAATAGTTACCTTTTGTCCTTTGGATGTCATGTCTAAACTTTGGAAAATATAAGTCATTGCCCTTTTAGAGAATGTTTGTGTAGTCCAAAGATTGTGAGCTCCATATAGTATGAAAATCAAGTACTTTTGCATGAGCAATAGCAGTTTCAAAGTGAAATATTATAATTTAATCTTTTTCAAGTAGATCAAAAATTCTTAACTGATTAATAAAATATTTTATCAATATATCATCCCCCTTTCAGAGAGAAGTCCCCAGAAGAGACAGCACACTTAGCAATTGCCCTCATTATTAAAGGCCTAGGTGAGTGGCATAAAGGGCCATATGCGATTATGTTTCAAGGTAAACATTACCTAACCTTGTGTGGGTTAAAAACAGTGAAGTGTCCTTGTATCCTGATAAAATTTTTTTTTAAATAACATGGTGGGTTGACATTTTTGCATCTGCTATAAGTTTTCTCACATGTCGTTCTTCCTGGTGAGAGCGGGCTGCATCATTCTGGCACTTAATTTGGGTGTTCGATTTTGCTATAGAGTTCTTTGCAGTACAGCATAGCCTCTTCTTGGCCTTGGGAACAGTGAACTCTTCTTTTGATGGTGTGGATTGCATGCATATCTGGAGAGAGGAGGGCTCAGGACTGTGTTCACTTTATTTGGTCAGATGTATTTTATTTGAAAACCATTTGAGCCCAAAATACAAGTGTACCCTTCCCACTTCTGGCTCAAGCACCCGTGAGCCGACTAGACGTAATATTAAAACTTACTGATGCTGGGTGCGGTGGCTCATGCCTATAATCCCAGCACTTTGGGAGGCCAAGGCAGGCAGATCACCTGAGGTCAGGAGTTGGAGACCAGACTGGCCAACATGACGAAATGCTCTCGCTACTAAAAATAGAAAAATTAGCCAGGCGTGGTGGCACACCCCTGTAATCCTAGCTACTCGGGAGGCTGAGACAGGAAAATTGCATGAACCTGGGAGGCAGAGGTTGCAGTGAGCAGAGATTACACCACTGCAACGAGACTCGGGCCCAGACGAGATCTGCCTGGGCGACACAGTGAGACTCTGTCTCAAAATAAATAAATAAGTAAATAGAACCTCCTGAGCTACCCTGGCTTATAAGGATTCAGATTACTTTAGGAAATTAGGCATTAGCACTAGGAGGGGGGAAGATGGCTGGCAAAACTTCTAGCTAGCAACCTATGTCTAGCACATGGGTAACTAACCATAGCGAGATCCTGAACACATATCCTCTAGGTGCAGGTGGAGGGAACGATGTCCAATACCTGAAGCAGAATCTCACATGGACGGAACGTCTGTATTTCCCTCTCCTGCACGAATCACTCATCATTCTTGGAGGGCTTCTCTGCATTCCTCCTTTTCTTCTCTCCCCTCCCCTGCCTTTTGTCTTTTCTAAAGAGTCTGAACTCCGATTTCCATGCTCTCCTGCTACATTAATAAGCAAAACCTGCTTGTGTGTACGGTTCTTTACTGGAAACATGACTTTTTGTTTCTGTATTGGTTTTACTGTCATCCAGTTTTCTAGTTTAATATCTAGCAAAACTAAATCTGAATGTACTCGCTTTTTCCGTTAAGTATGCCAAGCACCTCGGTTGAAAGGCTTGACTCAAACCAGAAGTCTTGCTGGAATTCGTCTCTGAACACTTGAAAAACAGAAACCCTGAGCCGCAACAAACATGCCTCTGTGTGTCGGGATTGCCTTTGTCTCTGCTTCCATGTGGCTTTTCCTTTTGTAGCTATGCTTAGTGACATAATCTTCCCTCTTCTAGCCTTCTCCTTTCAAGCCTGTCTGTTAATTAACCATGTCAGTATTGGCAAGCATTTATCTTCCCCCACCCTAACATGCAATCTTCTAAGAATTTTGCAAAATTCTAAACAAATATAGAGATGGTATATAGAATTCATATCTAGAAAACTTTGATTTTAATGTGAGCTTATCAAATTTGTTCTGGCTTTTTTGGCACTAAGGCAAAAACATGTTAACCAGAAATAATTTATTCTTCATGTATGTAAAATATTTGAGAATGTTTAGCCTTTTATTAGAATTTTATTTGGAAAATATTTATCTTTCTACACATTTTACACTTATGTTCCTTTGCTTATAACCCAATTTCTTAACTTTTTTGTTACTTAAGCAAATATCAATTATGTTTTATTATCTAATAAAGTGTAAGATTCTTACTATCTAAAATATTTAATTCTGTGTGACTAATATACTTTTCTGATCATTCAAATTGAATATGAAAAGCTAGAATAACTGTATTGCAACTGTTAATTCCAGCCAATTGTATAATGATAACACTGGTGAATTTCTAAGTAAATCTAATACTTGAAAATTTGGGTATACATAGAAAATAAATTTTAATATAATGTACAAAGTAACTTTTCATCATTCAAAAGAATTTCTTTAGCATGTTCATGTTATGAGTAATTTTATACAAGCTACTTGTTTGAGGGGAAATGATGAGGTTTAAATACAGGTTTTTAGAAATAGACAATTTTCTTTTTTTTTTTTCTTTTGAGACAAGATACTACTATTGCCTAGGCTGGATGGAGTGCATTGGCGCAGTCACTGCTCATGGCAGCCTCGACCTCCCAGGCTCAAGCGATCCTCCCACCTCAGCCTGGGACCCAAGTAGCTGGGACCACGGGCATGCGCCACCACACCCAGCTAATTTTTTTTCTATTCTTTGCAGAGATGGTGTCTCACTATGTTGCCCAGGCTGGTCTCAAACTTCTAGGCTTAAGCCATCCTCCTGCCTCAGCCTCCCAAGTGCTGGTACTACAGGCATGAGCCACTGCACCTGGCTGAGAAATACACAATTTTAAAAAATATCTGGCCGGGCACGGTTGGTCTTGTCTGTAATCCCAGTACTGTGAGAGGCCAAGGCGGGTGGGTCACTTGAGTCCTGGAGTTCGAGACCAGCCTGGCTAACATGGTGAAACCCTGTCTCTACAGAAAATAGAAAAATTAGCCGGATGTGGTGGCACACACCTGTAGTCCTAGCTACTCAGGAGGCTGAGATGGGAGGATGGCTTGAGCCCAGGAGGTAGAGGCTGCAGTGAGCTGTGGTTGTGCCACTGCACTCCAGCCTGGGTGACAGAGCCAGACCCTGTCTCAAAATAAAATAAAAATAGCTATAAGGATTCATGGAAATCCAAATCAGGCTAGCTTGAGCAGAAAAAAGAATATCCTTTTTTGGCTTATGTAACCAAGGTTCAGGAAGGACCAAAAAAATGCCATTGTGAGAACTCCCCTCTGCACCTCTTACCTTTGCTTCTTCTCTGGAGGGCATAATCCTCCTAGACCTACTTCTTCAAGCACAGAGAGCCTGTGTGTCTGCAGGAAACACCCAGTACATCCCCTTACAGCTTAATGATTAGTGAGCTCCACCCTGAAAAATCTTGGGAAGGAAATATCTAAAGCAAGCAGCTGGGGTCACAGGAAGCAGAAGGGTCCTCAGAGGGATGCACACTTCACCTTCCCTGAGGGCCTGTTGAGCAAATTCCCCACCTCCAAAAAATTGAGCTCTTCTTGAGTCAGCCTGTGTGGGTTGATCTTCAGTGTAATTAATACCTGCTCAGGAGGAGAGGAAAGGAACATCTCAGAAAAGGGGGTAAATGAAATACAGGTCTGGGCACGGTGGCTCACATCTGTAATCCCAGCTCTTTGGGAGGCCAAGGCAGGAGGATCACTTGAGGCCAGGAGTTCGAGACTAACCTGGACCACAAAGCAAGACCCTGTATCTAAAGTGAATGAATGAATGGTAGCCTGGAAATTTCAGTTACATCTCATTTTCTCCAACCAGAAATCTTGTACCAAAGTTAGAATCAAATAACTAGACTTGAGGGGGAACTGCAAAATTTCCAGAAGGCAACTAGCAGATGAGGTAGGCAAAGGCGGTAAATGATTTGCAAACTCAACCTTCAAGTTCAAAAATGGTGGGCAATGTGTTAGATTTTAGTCATCCTTCCACATCTCCCCTAGGTCCCCATTTCACATCAGTGGTAGGGGAACAAACTAAAAACCTTTTCTTTGCCTTGAGTTTTTTATTTCTTTTTCTTTTCCTTTTTTTTTTTTTTTTTTTGAGATGGAGTTTTGCTCTTGTCGCCCAGGCTGGAGTGCAGTGTTGTGATCTCGGCTCACTGCAACCTCTGCCTCTCGGGTTCAGGCAATTCTGCCTCAGTCTCCCAAGTAGCTGGGATTACAGGCGCCTGCCACCACGTCCGGCTAATTTTTGTATTTTTTGTAGAGACGGAGTTTCACCATGTTGGCCAGGCTGGTCATGAACTCCTGACCTCAAGTAATCCGCCCACCTCAGCCTCCCAAAGTGCTGAGATTAGAGGCGTGAGCCACCACTCATAGCCATGATTTCTTTTTCTTTTTTTTTTTTTTTTGAGACGGAGTCTCGCTCTGTCGCCCAGGCTGGCGTACAATGGCGCCATCTCGGCTCACTACAACCTCTGCCTCCTGGATTCAAGCGATTCTCCTGCCTCAGCCTCCTGAGTAACTGGGATTACAAGTGCCCGCCACCACGCCCAGCTAATTATTTTGTATTTTTAGTAAAGACGGGGTTTCACCATGTTGGCCAGGCTGGTCTCTAACTCCTGACCTCAGGTGATCTACCCACCTCGGCCTCCCAAAGTGCTAGGATTACAGGCGTGAGCCACCGCGCCTGGCTGATTTCTTTAAAACTAAGAAGATTGTCTTAAAGGCATTTTCTAGAAACAGCTTTCTCTCTGGCATCCCACAGCAGATCTCCTCCAGTTGTTCCGCTGCCCATTTTGTCTCCACCTTAACTCGGCAGTTTCTGTAGGAGGTTCTTGCCAAGGACCCAAGGAGGGTGGCCTTTGGGACACTGCAGAGGGTGGCCACTGTCAGCCACCAAGGTGTAAGCATCAGCATCCTTAAATAGAGATCAGTGAGATTTTGGTCTTCTTTTATATATCACAAATCTGCAGATAAGTATTTTTAGGCAACACCTTCCGCAATGAGTAGTTGAAACATGTAGGCATTTTATAAGGTCCCAACTTGCCCTTTCAGTTTAAACTAATTTTTTTGTTTGTTTGTTTGTTTGTTTTTTGTTTTGCACATACTCTATGTTTCGGTAAACTCTGATTGGTTGTCCATGATTCTGAAGGTTCAGGTCAGCTTAATGTTAAAGCCAGGAAGAGGCACTCCCGGTTTCAGCTTAGTGTGGCATTTCTGCAGTTAACGTCTTAACAACAAAGGTTTTAAAAATACTTCTTGCTCCGCCACCTCCAGGCTTCACAGTGTTCATTCCCCCAGTGGAAAAGACACAGTTGCTTCATAGCATCTTGTCCCCTACAGCATGAAAGTCAGTGTCTTTTCCTAACACAGAAGTATTTTGCTACTATTTGTCTTTTACATTTGTGTAGTATTTTATGGAGTGCATGAACCTCACAGCCTTCTGAGGGGCGCTGTAATAGAGAGTGTCTCTCTCTAACCTCAAGAATCTCTGTGAGGCCGGGCGCAGTGGCTCATGCCTGTAATCCCAACTCTTTGGGAGGCTGAGGTGGGTGGATCACAGGGTCAGGAGTTCAAGACCAGCCTGGCCAACATAGTGAAACCCCGTCTCTACTAAAAAATACAAAAAAATAAGCCAGGCATGGTGGCAGGTGCCTGTAATCCCAGCTACTCGGGAGGCTGAGGCAGGAGAATCACTTGAACCCGGGAGGCAGAGGTTGCAGTGAGCAGAGATTATGCCGTTGCACTCCAGCCCAGGCAATAGTGTGAGACTCTGTCTCAAAACAAAAAAGAATCTCTGTGAAAATTTGAACAGACTTCGTGAGGAAAAGATGGAGGCCTGGAGGATCAAGATACACAGTGACCTCATGAAAACGCTTACATGTATTTTGTTGACATTTGTATCCCGTGGATGCTGTCAACTGCAGTTAATGTGAAATGAGCAGTGGCTTACACCTAAGAACTTCTGTTTCTTAAATCTAAAATGGGTGATCCTCAGGGTTGGATTGGCAGCTCAACAGTGCCTACAAGGATTGGAGCTCCTTTGGTCTTTCCTTTCTTACCTTCCTATACGTGTCAGCTTTCAGCTTCAGGCTGGGGGTTTATCTGATCTCAAGGGGGCTACCACCGCTCCAGGCATCACATCCTCACGATAGCACCCAGAGGAGGGTGCTATCAAGAAGGGAGGGAGGTGCGAAAGGGCCCTTCTCATGTGTCTCTCTCCTTTAAATCAGGGAGAAAAATCTTTTCCAGAATCTTCCCTGCCACAGGAACCCCCGCGTGTCTCTTAGAACAGGATTGGGTCACACAGACTGGTTGCAAAATGGAATTTTTAGCTTTTTCCGCTCCTCTGGTAGGAGGTGGACAAGGAAGAAGAAGTTGGAAGTGGTTTTCGGATGGGCATTCATCAGCATTGGTTACCAGGTTCACAAAAATAAAACACAGGCTGCAAACTGAAGAGAACCATACAGCGAGTGTTAAGTTGCCATCGCTTAGTAGCTAGAAATACTGCAGAATGTCCCCTCCTTTGATTTCCAGTGTCATGTGGTAATTTCGGTTCATTCTGTTTCACATAATTTTACCAGCTCTCTACCGAATCTTAAATTACTTTTTTTAATGTTATGGCTAGTTTCTAGGACCCCACTATAGTTCTGGATTAACTCAGATGCTTGAGGGGAAAAAAAAAAAAGTTAACCAAAAAATCCACGGCCAGCACGGTGGCTTACGCCTGTAATCCCAGCACTTTGGGAAGGCAAGGGGTGGATCACCTGAGGTCAGGAGTTCGACACCAGCCTGTTCAACATGGAGAAACCCCGTCTCTACTAAAAATACAAAAATTAGCCAGGCGTGGTGGCATGCACCTGTAATCCCAGCTACTCGGGGGGCTGAAGCCAGGGGGCGGAGGTTACAGTGAGCTGAAATCATGCCACTGCACTCCAGGCTGGGTGAAAGAGCAAGACTCCATCTCAAAAAAAAAAAAAAAAAAAAAAAAATCCACATAGGCCGGGCGCGGAGGCTCACGCCTATAGTCCTAGCACTTTGAGAGGCCAAGGTGGGTGGATGGCTTTTGCTCAGGAGTTCGAGACCAGCCTGGGCAACATGGTGAAACACTGTCTCTACACAATATACAAAAATTAGCCAGGTGTGGTGGCATACACCTGTAGTCCCAGCTACTCAGGAGGCTGAGGTGGGAGGATCACTTGAGCCTGGGAGGTCAAGGCTGCAATGAGCCATGATTGTGCCACTGTACTCCAGCCTGGATGAAAGAGTGAGACCCTGTCTCAAAAAAAAAAAAAAAAAAAAAAAAGAATCCACATACACACTTGGGCATTTCTCAAAACTCACTGATTTATACAAAGGGACTTCAAAAAGTTTGTGGAAAAATGGAACTAGAAGATAAAAATTAAAAGTATAAACTTTATTTCTCAATATAAGCTTCATCAAGGTCAACACTCTTGTAAGCAATGATACCAGCCAGGTAGTCCATCCTTAAGGAACTGAGGGTCCTGGGAACTTAACCATATCAATGCAGTCTTTTTTATATTATTAACTGAAGAAAATTGGGTGCCCTTTACAGGTTTTTTGTTTTTTGGTTTTTTGTTTTTTGTTTTGAGACAGGGATTTGCTCCTTTGCCCAGGCTGGAGTGCAGTGGCGCAATCTCAGCTCACTGTAGCCTCTGCCTTCCAGGCTCAAGCCATCCTCCCACCTCAGCCTCTGAGGTGGCTGAGACTACAGGCTTGCCACCACACCTGGCTAATTTTTGTATTTTTGGTACACATGGGATTTTGCCATATTGCCCAGTTTGGTCTCAAATTCCTGAGCTCAAGCAATCTTCCCGCCTTGACCTCCCAAGAGCAATTACAGGAGTGAGCCACTGTGCCCAGCCTATTTTCTTAAAAAAAAAAAAAATTAATTACTATTTTCATTTAAAATAAATTGAGACAGGGTCTCACTTTGTTGGCCAGGGTGGTCTTGAACTCCTGGCCTCAAGTAATCCTCCCGCCTCAGCCTCCTAAAGTGCTAGGATTTACAGTAATGAGCTACTGTGCCTGGCCTCTGTTTTTTGTTTTTTGGTTTTTTTGAGACACGGTCTATTCTCTGTCACCCAGGCTGGAGTGCAGTGGTGAGATTTTGGCTCACTGCATTCTCGACCTTCTGAGCTCAAGCGATCCTCCCACATCAGCCTCCTGAGTAGCCGGGACTACAGGCACGCACCACCATGCCTGGCTAATTTTTTAATTTTTTTTTTCTTTTTGAGGCAGAGTGTCACTCTGTTGCCCAGGCTGGAGTGCAGTGGTACGATCTTGGCTCACTGCAACCTCTGCCTCCCAGGTTCAAGCAGTTCTTCTGCCTCAGCCTCCCAAGTAGCTGGGATTACAGGCACGTGCCACCACGCCCAGCTAATTTTTGTATTTTTAGTAGAGACAGAGTTTCACCATGTTGGCCAGGCTGGTCTCAAACTCCTGACCTTGTGATCCACCCGCCTCAGCCTCCCGAAGTGCTAGGATTACAGGCATGAGCCACCACGCCCGGCATGCCCAGACTGTTTTCAGACTGATGTAGTATCCTTCTTCGTGCCTCAAACTAGGTTCTGTTTAGACATGTTACAAGTTAGTGTGCGTTTATGTTGGTGCAAAAACATCTTAAAATCCATACATAGTTTTTTTTCATAATATGCATTTTGCATGAACTTTTTGAAGTCCCCTTGTATAGTGTTGGCTTTGCCATATTGTTTTAATTAAATAAGAGTAGCATAACCTAGGTACAACACCTAAGAAGGAGCAGGAACCCTTTAGAGGCCTACCAAACCCCACATAAAATAAAAAATTTTAAAGTATTGAGTTACTGAAAAAAAATTCCAGGCCGGGCATGCTGGCTCATGCCTGTAATCTCAGCACTTTGGGAGGCTGAGGTGAGTGGATCACCGGAGGTCAGGAGTTCGAGACCAGCCTCACCAAGATGGTGAAACCCCGTCTCTACTAAAAGTACAAAAATTATCCGGGCATGGTGGCATGCGCCTGTAGTCCCAGCTACTTGGGAGGCTGAGGCAGGAGAATTGCTTGAACCTGGGAGGCGGAGGTTGCAGTGAGCCAAGATCGAGCCACTGCACTCCAGCCTGGGTGACAGGGCGAGACTCCGTCTCAAAATAAATAAATAAATAATAAATTCCAGGCACCTAACTAGCCCTAAAAATGAACAATAAGCAAAAAATTAATTAAAGAAACAATAGCAAAAAAGTTAAAGTCATGAGATATTTGTGTTCCCTATAAAAACTAATGATAATGGCCAGGTGTGGTGGTGCATGCCTGTAATCCCACCACTTTGGGAGGCTGAGGTGGGTGGATCACCTGAGGTCAGGAGTTCGAGACCAGCCTGATCAATATGGTGAAACCCTGTCTCTACTAAAAATACAAAAATTAGCTAAGCATGGTGGCAGGCACCTGTAAACCCAGCTACTCGGGAAGCTGAGGCAGGAGAATCGCTTGAACCTGGAAGACGGAGGTTGCAGTTAGCTGAGATCGCACCATTGCACTCCAGCCTGGGGGACAGAGCGAGACTGTCTCAAAACAAAAACAAAAACAAAACAACAACAAAAACTAAAGATAACATGTGAGCATATATCCCTCGGTTGTTTTTCAGAAACCCAGATCCCCACCGAATGGATCCACTGGCACTTAAACCTCAAATAAGGGAGAACTGATGGCTAAACTGTAACCACTGTTCTTTGTTCTAAATTTCTTCTTCCTGAGCAGGCTACAAAAAGTCACACCCTCGAGCCAGAGCTACCATTCTTTTCTACTGACCTCAAATCTTTAAACAAAGCTCTTTTTTAACCAATTACAAATCAATAAATCTTTAAATCCACCTATGACCTATGGGTCCTCACATCGAGATGTCCTCCTTTATATGAGAAGCCAGCATGTAGCCTCCATATATTAATTTATGACTGCCTATAACCTCTGCCTTCCCGCCTTTAAAAACCCTTACCTGTAAGCCTCGGGTCTTAAGCATGAGCTGCCTGATTCTCCTTGCTTGACACCCTACAAATAAACACCCCCAGATCACCTGAGGTCAGGAGTTTGAGACCAGCCTGGCCAACATGGTGAAACCCCATCTCTACTAGAAATACAAAAAATTAGCCTGGCGTGGTGGCACGCGCCTGGAATCCCAGCTACTTGGGTGGCTGAGGAAGGAGAATCGCTTGAACCTAGGAGGCAGAGGTTGCAGTGAGCAGAGATCACGCCATTGCACTCCAGTCTGGGAGACAGAGCAAAAATCTGTCATAAATAAATAAATAAAATAAACGCCCCCCTTTCTCCCACTACAAGCCTCAATATAGATATTTGACCTTACTACACTGGGCAAGTAGACCCTAGTTTGGCTCAATAACACTCCCCTCCCTTTAAAAGGGGCAGGAGTAGAATTCCAACACCTGTTTCTTTTGCTTCTGTTGCCTTAGGGTGGGTGCATGGCAAAAGTATGTACTCCTGTACACCACCCCTCTCCTCTTTCCAGCTTCCTGGTTCCATCTTTTCTAACTATCACCTACAAGAATAACTCAGATCATATATACTTGGTCTGAAATTTGCATGATTATGGGAAAAGAGTACTAAAATCAATTTATATTTGGTAGAATTCGTGGTTGGTAAGGGATGACTGTGGCTTATGCGTGGTTGGTAAGGGCCCTCGGCCTTATTCATAGGGTGGTAAACCTAGAAGTCATTGTGTCCTCTACTGAATTTGTGGAATGCTGCAAATTACTTATGTATCCGATTCCTTCATCCAACCTAGGAACAGAAAATACAGCTATGATACCAGTATGCAATTAACCACAAGGTTGGATACTTATGAAAACAAAAAAGCTGTTGAACTACTCCTGCCCCTTTTAAAGGGAAGGGAGTGTTATCGAGCCGAACTGGGGTCTACTTGCCCTGTGTAGTAAGGTCAAATATCTGTATCGAGGCTTGTAGTGGTAGAAAGCAGGGTGTTTATTTGTAGGGTGCCAAGCAAGGAGAATCAGGCAGCTTATGCTTAAGATCTGAGGCATATAGGTAAGGGTTTTTAAGGCAGGGAGGCAGGGGTTATAGGCAGTCATGAATTAATTTTTTGAGCTTTCCCTATTAATATTTATGTGAATGAGCCTGGACAACATGGTGAAACCCCACCTCTAAAAAATACAAAAATTAAATACAAAAAATTAGCCAGGCATGGTGGCAGGCGCCTGTAGTCCCAGCTACGTGGGAGGCTGAGGCAGGAGAATGGCGTGAACCCGGGACACGGAGCTTGCAGTGACCTGAGATCACGCCACTACACTCCAGCCTGGAGGACGGAGCGAGACTCCTTCTCAAAAAAAAAAAAAAAAAATTAGCTGGGTGTGATGACGCAGGCAGGAGGCTCAGGCAGGAGGATCACTCAAGTCCAGGAGGTCAAGGCTACAGTGAGCTCTGATCATGCCACTGCACTCCAGCCTGGATGACAGAACAGGACCCTGTCTCAAAACAAACAAAAAAACAGAAAGAAAGAAAGAAATGTATGTGGGCTGGGCGCGGTGACTCACGCCTGTAATCCCAGCACTTTGGGAGGCTGAGACAGGCAGATCACCTGAGGTCAGGACTTCGAGACCAGCCTGGCCAACATGGTGAAACCCCGTCTCTACTAAAAATACAAAAATTAGCTGGGCATGGTGGCAGATGCCTGTAATCCCAGTTACTTGGGAGGCTAAGGCAGGAGAATTGCTTGAACCTGGGAGGTGGAGGTTGCAGTGAGCCAAGGTTGCGCCATTGCATTCCAGCCTGGGCAACAAGAGCGAAACTCCATCTCAAAAAAAAAAAAAAAAGAAAGAAAGAAAAAATGTATGTGAATGCCTTTGCTTGGTTGTAAGCACCAGCAAGTGCTAGTAGGCAAGCAGTAGCAAATCTCCAAAGCTTAGAACTCCATGGGAAAACATTTAAGATGGAGAAAACCGTACCTATTACCTTTTTCCTGAGACTTAACAAAACCATGATTATTTCGTTTTAGCAGCACGATATCTTGTTACGGTTGCTAAAAACCAGTTTTTACAGGCAGATATTTGACCAGTAAGAATACTATGAGTCAGGAGCCCTGGCCGTAGCTCCCCACCTTGCCACTTGTTGCACTCTTGGGAAAACCATTTGACCTTGCCAAGCCTAAGTCTTAGTCAGTCCGGACTGCTATTACAGAATACCGTAGACTGGGCGGCTTCAACAACAAACGTTTCTCTCTCACAATTCTGGAGGCTGGGAGGTCTGAAATCATGGTACTGGCTGGCAGATCTGGTGTCTGGTGAGAGCCCACTTCCTGGTTCACAAATGGCTGTTTTCTTGCTGTGTCCTCACACAGAGTGGAGAGACGGAGGAAACAAGCTCTCTAGAGTCTCTTCTTTTTTTTTTTTTTGAGACGGAGTCTTGCTCTGTCGCCCAGGCTGGAGTGCTGGGGCGCGATCTCGGCTCACTGCAAGCTCCGCCTCCCGGGTTCACGCCATTCTCCTGCCTCAGCCTCCCGAGTAGCTGGGACTACAGGCGCCCGCCATCACGCCCGGCTAATTTTTTGTATTTTTAGTAGAGATGGGGTTTCACCGTGTTAGCCAGGATGGTCTCGATCTCCTGACCTTGTGATCTGCCTGCCTCGGCCTCCCAAAGTGCTGGGATTACAGGCGTGAGCCACCGCGCCCGGCCTAGAGTCTCTTCTTATAAGGGCACTAATCCTATCATGAGGGCTCCATGCCTATGACCTCCTCACCTCCTCATACCATCACACTAGGGAGCAGGGTTTCAACACAGGAATTTGGGGGAACACAAATTCAGTCCAGAGCACCTTAGTCCTTATGTTTCGAAAACAACAACAACAATAATTATAATAGGAATGCTTATAGAGCATTTATTTACTGTATTCCAGCTGTAGTTTTTTGTTTGTTTTTTGTTTTGGTGGGGGTTGGGGTCTCGCTCTGTCACCCAGGCTAGAGTGGAGAGATCTCAGGTCACTGCAGCCTCCACCTCCCAGGCTCAAGCAATCCTCCCACCTCAGCCTCCCAAGTAGCTGGGACTATAGGCATGTACCACCACACCCGGCAAATTTTTTGTATTTTTTGGTGGAAAAGGAGTTTCGCCATGTTGCGCAGGCTGGTCTCAAACTCCTTAGCTCAAGCTATCTGCCTGCCTTGGCCTCTCAAAGTGCTGGGATTACAAGCATGAGCCACTACACCTGGCCTCCAGACATAGTTTTTTTGTTTGTTTGTTTGTTTTTCCGAGACAGAGTCTTGCTCTGTCACCCAGACTGGAATGCAGTGGCTGATCTCAGCTCACTGCAATGTCCGCCTCCCGGGTTCGAGCAATTCTCCTACCCCAGCCTCCCAAGAGCTGGAATTACAAGTGCCTCCCACGATGCCTGGCTAATTTTTTTTTTTTTTTTTTTTTTGTATTTTTAGTACAGACACGGTTTCACCATGTTGGCCAGCCTAGTCTCGAACTCCTGACCTTGTGATCCACCCGCCTCAGCCTCCCAAAGTGCTGGAATTACAGGCGTGAGCCACCGCGCCCGGCCCAGGCATAGTTTTAAAGTAATCACAATCTCATTTAATCTTCATCACATCCCTATGAAGTAAGTACTACAGTGATCTCTATTTTGCAGATGAAGATACTGAGGTATAGAAAGTTTCAGTAGACTGGATGAGGTGGCTCACACCTATAATCCCAACATCTTGGGAGGTGAAGTTGGGAGGATCCCTTGAGCCCAGAAGTTTGAGACCAGCCTGGGCAACATAGGGAAACTCCATCTCTATTTATTTAAAAAAAAAAAAGAAAGAAAGAAAGAAAGAAAAAAGTGGGCCTGGCGTGGTAGCTCATGCCTGTAATCCCAGCACTTTGGGAGGCCGAGGCAGGTGGATCATCTGAAGTCAGGAATTCAAGACCAGTCTGGCTAACATGGCAAAATCCTGTCTCTACTAAAAATATTAAAATTAGCCAGGCACAGTGGCGTGCACTTATAATCCCAGTTACTCAGGAGGCTGAGGCAGGAGAATCACCTGAATCCAGGAGGTGGAGGTTGCAGTGAGCCGAAATTGTGCCACTGCACTCCAGCCTGGGTGACAGAGTGAGACTCTGACTCAAAAAAAAAAAAAAAAAAAAAAAAAAAATAGTAATAAAAAAGTTGAAGTAACTTGCCCAAGAACACATAGCTAATAAATGGTGACGTCAGAGTCAAACCGAAGCATTCTGATTCCAGGGAATAGATACCCTACCTGGCTGACCACATGTGGTAAGGATCAAATGAGGTCAAATACATGAAAATATTTTCTAAACAATAAAACCCTGGCCAGGTGCAGTGGCTCACGCCTGTAATTCCAGCACTTTGAGAGGCCGAGGCAGGTGGATCACAGGTCAAGAGTTCAAGACCAACCTGGCCAAGATGGTTAAACCCCGTCTCTACTAAAAATACAAAAAAATTAGTCGGGCATGGTGGCAGGTGCCTGTAATCTCAGCTACTCGGGAGACTGAGGCAGGAGAACAACCTGAACCTGGGAGGCGGAGGTTGCCCTGAGACGAGATCATTCCGCTGCACTCCAGCCTGGGCAACAGAGTGAGACTCCATCTCTAAATAAATAAATAAATAGTAAAACCCCATACCTACATATAAAATGTGTAGTCTGCATGCAATAACTGGAATCCTTTGCTAGTAATTACTAGTAATATTACTTGCCCAACCACCAAACAAGCAAACTTCTGTTAGTACCCTCCCTGGCAACCACCCCAGGGTACTAAGGTGAATTTACTAAGATGCAGTATCCTAGTAAAAGAACATTCTTCTTCGAGTATCTAGGGTACAGACTGTAGTAGGTATTAAAACAACGTAGGTAACCCATGGACATATCCGTAAGCTCTCAAGTGTTATACATCAATCTTCCATGCAGACCCCAGGGTGATTGTGAATATTTATATTTTTATTGGGGAATCTTCGTATAAAGGGGTTGATGTTGACATGGAGCCCACTGTTTGGGTCTCAGAGTCACCCTGAGTTTAGGCCTTAAATACTTGTTTGATTCAGTACCCTTGTTTTTGAGACAGGGTCTCACTTGTCACCCAGAGTGCAGTGGTGCAATCTCAGTTCACTGCAACCTCTGCCTCCTCATGCTCAAGCCATTCTCCTACCTCAGCCCTTCATATAGCTGAGACTACAAGCACGCACTACCATGTCTAGCTAGTTTTCGTATTTTTTTGTAGATAGTGTTGCCATGTTCCCCAGGCTGGTCTATGAACTCCTGGACTCAAGAAATCCGCCTGCCTTGGTCTCCCAAAGCGCTAGTATGTCTGGAACTGGTAGGTTCTTGATCTCATTGAAATTATGAATGAAGCCACGTACCCTCGCGGTGTGTTACAGCTCTGAAGGTGGCGCGTCAGGAGCTTATTCCTTCTGATGTTTACATGTGTTTGGAGTTTTTTCTTTCTGGTGCGTTCGTGGTCTCGCTGCCTTATGAGTGAAGATGCAGATTTTTGTAGTGACTATTAAAGCTCAAAAAAGCAATGTAGACCCACAGAGTAAGCACTAGCAAGGTTTATTGCAAAACACATTCCAAAAACGTGAAAGGAGACCCGAGCGGTTTGCCACTGCTGGTTCCGGCAGCCTGCTTTTATTCTCTTATCTGGCCCCACCCACATCCTGCTGATTGGTAGAGCCGAGCAGTCTGTTTTGATAGGGCGCTGATTGGTGCGTTTACAATCCCTGAGCTAGACACAAAGGTTCTCCACGTCCCCACCAGATTAGCTAGATACAGAGTGTCGACACAAAGGTTCTCCAAGGCCCCACCAGAGTAGCTAGATACAGAGTGTCGATTGGTGCATTCACAAACCCTGAGCTAGACACAGGGTGCTGATTGCTGTGTTTACAAACCTTGAGCTAGATACAGAGTTCCAATTGGTGTATTTACAATCCCTGAGCTAGACATAAAGGTTCTCCACGTCCCCACCAGACTCAGGATCCCAGCTGACTTCACCCAGTGGATCCCGCATAGGTGCTGCAGGTAGAGCTGCCAGCCAGTCCCGCGCCGTGCGCCCGCACTTTTCAGCCCTTGGGTGGTCGACGGGACTGGGCGCTGTGGAGCAGGGGGTGGCGCTCATTGGGGAGGCTCGGGCTGCACAGGAGCCCATGAAGGGGGTGGGAGGCTCAGGCATGACAGGCTGCAGGTCCCGAGCCCTGCCCCGCGGGAAGGCAGCTAAGGCTTGGTGAGAAATCGAGAGCAGCGCCGGTGGGCTGGCACTGTTGGGGAACCCAGTACACCCTTCGCAGCCACTGGCCCGGGTGCTAAGCCCCTCATTGCCTAGGCTGGCAGAGCCGGCCGGCTGCTGCGAGTGCGGGGCCCGCCAAGCCCACGCCCACCTGGAACTCCAGCTGGCCCGCAAGCGCTGCGCAGCCCTGGTTCCCCCTCGCGCCTCTCTCCACACCTACTTGCAAGCTGAGGGAGCCGGCTCCGCCTTGGCCAGCCCAGAAAGGGGCTCCCACAGTGCAGCAGTGGGCTGAAGGGCTCCTCAAGTGCCGCCAAGTGGGAGCCCAGGCAGAGGAGGTGCCGAGAGCGCGCGAGGGCTGTGAGGACTGCCAGCACGCTGTCACCTCTCATTAGGGTTACAGGCGTGAGCCACCAAGCCCAGCTTTCAGTACCCTTCTTTTGTGACAAGATCATTAACTGGGATATTTCATTCTTTTTATTTTCTTTTTTTGAGACGGAGTTTTGCTCTTTCGCCTACGCTAGAGTGCAGTGGCGTGATCTCTGCTCACTGCAACGTCTGCCTTCCGGTTTCAAGCGATTCTCCTGCCTTAGCCTCACAACTAGCTAGGACTACAGGAGCCTGCCACCACGCCTGGCTAATTTTTGTATTTTTAGTAGAGACGGGGTTTCACCATGTTGGCCAGGCTGGTCTCGAACTCCTGACCTGGTGATCCGCCCGCCTCTACCTCCCAAAGTGCTGGGATTACAGGCATGAGCCACCACGTCCGGCCTGGGATATCTCATTCTTAATCATCCAAGTTGACCATCTGCAACACTTCATGAAAAAGTAAAACAAATTTCAGCAACTTTTAAAAACTTCCCCAGAATGTTGGGCTACCCAAATCCTGACCAGGCCCTTGCGAGCATTCACATCTCATCCAAAATCTGCGCTTTATTTGCATAAAACCCTTCTTGCCTGCTCTCAGCTATCAATGGAGTCCAGAAGAGTGTCTCCTACTCTTCTCCAGCAAAGCAGGACTTCAGATCCCAAAAAAGCACAGGAAAAATTGGGACATTTGGAGGGCACACCATCTTTTCACCCCAACTTCTTCTGAGTTAAAAATGTAAGGTATATTTGCCTATTCCGGTGGTGGTGTGTTTCTTTTTTTTTTTTTTTTGAAATGGAGTCTTGCTGTGTCCCAGGCTGGAGTGCAGTGGTATGATCTCAGCTCACTGCAACCTCCACCTCCTGGGTTCAAGCGATTCTCCTGCCCCAGCCTCCAGAGTAGCTGGGATTACAGGCACGCACCAACACACCCGGCTAATTTTTGTATTTTTAGTAGACAGGGGTTTCGCCATGTTGGCCAGGCTGGTCTTGAACTTCTGAGCTCAAGTGATCCGCCCGCCTTGACCTCCCAAAGTGCTGAGATTATAGGCTTGAGCCACCTCACCTGGCCGATGGTGTGTTTCTGTGTCTATGAGACAGTGCCACCAGAATAGGCCAATCCGTAGAGATAAAAAGTAGATTTATGGTTGCCTGGAACTGGAGGACTTCGGGTGAAATAGAGGGTGACTGCTAATCAGGTAGGATTTGTTTCTGAGGTGATGAAACTGTTCTAAAATCAATCATAGTGATAGTTGTACAGCTCAGTAAATATACTAAAAACCATTAAATTGCACATTTTGAATGGGTAAATTGTGTGTTGAAATATGTCTCAATAAAGCTGACATTAAAAAAGTACAACTTCAGAAAGTGCACCATTCTTTTAAAAAAGAAAAAGCAAGTAGTAACGCTAAAAGGAACCTCCGAAATCATCTATCCGTCTACATCTTCAATATACAGATGAAGAACCCAAGCCAGAGAATGTTGTGCTTCATTGCAGAGCTCACAGATGGTGGCTGGAAGGCCCAGCCTGGGGTCCAAATGACGCCGTGGTGGGTCCCCTTCCATGACTCCTGACTCCTCTCCCTTAGAAGAAAATGCTTTGGTTGCTGTTAAAACCCAAATCACTTTTTATTAGGATTTACTAGGCTGGGCGCAATGGCTTATGCCTGTAATCCCAGCACTTTGCCAGGCCAAGGCAGGTGGATCACCTGAGGTCAGGAGTTCGAGACCAATCTGGCCAAGGTGGGCAAACCCCGTCTCTACTAAAAATACAAAAAATTAGCCAGTGTGTGGTGGCAGGCACCTGTAATCCCAGCTACTCGGGAGGCTGAGGCAGGAGAAGTGCTTGAACCTGGGAGGTGGAGGTTGCAGTGAGCTGAGATTTCGCCATTGTACTCCAGCCTGAGCAACAAGAGCAAAACTTCGTCTAAAAAAAAAAAAAAAAAAGGAAAAAAAGGATTTAGTGATGACGAAGTGAAACAATCTAGTCATCATCCCTACGTTTAAAATGATCAACAAGGGGCAAAGTCTACTTCTGATCAGCACAAGGAGAGAAACTGAGATCATAGTTTATAGCCTGGGCAGCAGAGCCAGACTCCATCTCTAAAAAAAAAAATTTTTTTTTTTTAATTAGCCAGGCATGGTGGCGCATGCCTGTGGTCCCAGCTACTCAGGAGGCTGAGGCAGGAGAATCATTTGAAACTGGGTGCTGGGGGCTGCAGTGAGCCGAGATTGCGCCACCGCACTCCTGCCTGCGCAACAAAGCCAGACCCTGTCTCAAAAATAAAAATAATAATAAAATGCAATCATCCGTTTATGAGCGTATGCCCAGCTGCACTGTGGTTCCTAAGGCAGGGCAGGGCCTGCTCACTGCCCCCTGCAGCGGGTGCGGGCTGGCGGTCGCGCGTGGCGGGCAGGGGCTCCCTGTCCACAGGGAGGCTTCTTCCAGGGAACGAGTCCGCATGGAGCCAGAAGGGGGCGCCACCAACAGCTTCGTGGCCCCAGGCGGGAGGTTCAGCGCTTGGACCCGGGGACCCCAAGACACCCGCGCCAGAGGAGAGCCCTGGCGACCTCCTCCCTGCTCCCCCAAACTCCGGACAGACCCAGGCCCAGGCAGGCAAGACGGGTGTGCTCAGAACCCCGCGATTGAGGCGGCCTCCTGGCCTCTCCGCGGGCTTCCTGTCGCAGGCCCGGCCCTCTCAGGCCGCTGGGCCAGGTCGTTCAGGGAGTTGTTGGGTGGCCGCAGGACCCTAGGCTGAGACTCCGGAGCGTGGAGGTTCTGGTCCGGGCCCCACAAAATCTCCGCGAAGCTCAGGTACCTCATCGGTGAACTAAGGACGGCGAGCCCAGCGATTCCGCCGTCCTCTGAGCCCCGCAACTCTGATCCCAAGGCGCGTCCAGCCTGGAGC
The DNA here is from genome assembly GCF_000001405.40 of Homo sapiens. NCBI lineage: Eukaryota > Metazoa > Chordata > Mammalia > Primates > Hominidae > Homo > Homo sapiens. The sequence goes on along the minus strand of NC_000006.12, from coordinate 13,769,430 downwards.
TCGGGGCACACAGGCCCCGGGACTAGCATCCAGGAGCGCTAACACTGAAGCGCACAAAGACGGGGCCCTCCGTGAGCAAATTCGCATCGCCCCACGGCCGTCATAAGCCACCGAGGCCAGGCGCGGGGACTCGCGCCGGTAACCCAAACCCTGGAGGCCAAGGCGGGACGATTGCGAGCCATGGTGGCGCACGCCTGTGGTTGCAGCTACTCAGGAGGCTGAGGCAGTAGGGAGAGGATCCCTTGAACGCAGGAGGCGGAGCCATGATCGCGCCACTGTACTCCAGCGACAGAGTGAGACCGTGTCGAAAGAAAGAACGAGAGAGAGAGAGAGAGAGAGAGAGAGAGAGAGAGGGAGGGAGGGAGGGAGGGAGGGAGGGAGGGAGGGAGGGAGGGAGACCAAAAAGGGCAATCTTTTTCCTTTTTTTTTTTTTTTTAATATAACTCATTCTCATTCACTCTCAACATTGCCCTGAATCTCCATCTTTTTTTTTTTTCTTCTTTCTTTTTTGAGACAGTTCTCCTGTAGTTCCGGCTGGAGTGCAATGGGGCAATCAAGGCCCACTGCATCCTCAACCTCCTGGGCTTAAGCAGTCCTCCTGCCTCGGCCTCTCAGCTGAGTAGCTGGGATCATAGGAACACACCTAAGCTAATTTTTAAAATTATTTTTAGTAGAAACAAGGTCTTGCTATGTTGCACCAGGCTGGTCTCAAACTCCTGGGCTTAAGCAGTCCTCCCGCCTCGGCCTCCCAAAGTGCTGAGATTACAGGCATGAGCCACTGTGCCCGGCCAATCTTCATTTTTTATCAAAACTGACTTCCTCTGAGAAGGTGTCTGGACCCATCCATTCTTCTCTGTGCTTACCCCTGCTAACATGAACTCCTTGTTAGCTAACATGGACTCCTCCTCCTCAGGACTCCTTGCCTTGTGTCCTGGCAAGGAGTGTGCCCTCCAGAGCCAGGCTGCCTTGGTTTGAACCCTGTATGACGGTGGGCAGATGACTTAACCTCTCAGTGCCTCAGTCTCCTCCTCAGTGAAATAGGGGTAATAGTAATACCTATCTCATGTGGTCCTTAGGAGGATGAAATTAGTTTATATAGGCTGGGCGTGGTGGCTCATGCCTGTAATCCTAGCACACTGGAAGGCCAAGGCGGGCAGATCACCTGAGGTCAGGAGTTTGAGACCAGCCTGGCCGACATGGTGAAACACGTCTCTACTAAGAATACAAAAATGAGCCAGATGTGGTGGTGGGCACCTGTAGTCCTAGCTACTCAGGAGGCTGAGGCACCAGAATCACTTGAAACTGGGAGGTAGAGGTTGCAGTGAGCCAAGATCGGGCCACTGCACTCCAGCCTGGGCAACAGAGCAAGACTCTGTCTCAAAAAAAAAAAAAAAAAGAAAAGAAAAGAAAAGAAATTAGTTTATATAATTAAACCTCATCAGAAGGACTGTCCTCTTACTGGTGTCCCTTCCTAGTACTAAAATAGTGCTCCACTTACTATCTGCTTCCCTTAGCAATCAGTTTCAAGTTAGCACAAAGCCCTTTGCAGTATTTTTTAACAAGGATGTTCTGCTCTTATTTTAAACTCTTGATCCTCACTGGAGAGAAAGTTGTCCCCTTCCTGTTTGCCTCATTTCTCCAAAGCCTTTTGTCATGTTTCCCGAGTGTCCTTTAGCTGTGGCCACCCTCGGACCATGGGACTTTCCCGGTTCTGGGCTTCAGATTACGGTTTAAAATTAGCCACATGACTGTCAGAGGGGGGCACCAGAGGAGGCAGGAAACGTGGTGGGAGAGATGAAGCAGACCTGCGTCGGAGGCAGCGGTGTAGCGGAACAGAGACACGAGCCCCCGCAAACGTTGGCATCCACGGAGGGAGCACGGAGCCTTGGGATCCCCAAGGTTATAACAATCCTGACTTTATGCCATGTTATATGTTTTTGGGCAAGGTCTGCTGCTGCTACAATTCAAGCTGCATTGACAACTGGAATCTTCCGGATTGTTTCTTTTGTGATTATAAAGTGTCTTTGGAGTAGCGTGATGTGGGTGGATGCAGTTTATAGAACTACTTGGACCAATCAGCCTCCTCCTCAAAGGAACACTGGCTTTCCACTCTTCCAGTGTTGGTCTTGCATTTTGGGGAAGAGGAGAAGAGAAAGGACGTCATTTGATTTAAGGACATAAAGAAATACCAGAGCCTGGGGCCGGCCCAGAAAAGACTTAAGCAGGAGTGATTTGTCTTGTATGCATCCTCCCTCCTCTCTCCCGACCTTTTCCTCATTCCATGGTATCCCTTCTTTTGTCTGATGCCCACTGCCCGCCTGTAGTCTTAGTACCCTAACTCACCAAAACCCTCTACTTTCCAGAAAGGGACAAATCTCACCATTGATGGCTTCATTATAAAAGTGGGATTTAACAACAGAGACCTGGATTCAAATCCTAGCATGGGCCGGCTACAGTGGCTCATGCCTCTAATTCCAGCACTTTGGGAGGCTGAGGTGGGAGGATCACTTGAGGTCAGGAGTTCCAGACCAGCCTGGCCAACATGGTGAAACCCCGTCTCTACTAAAAATACATAAAATTAGCCAGGTGCGGTGGTGTGCACCTGTAGTCCCAGCTACTTAGGTGTCTGAAGCAGAAGAATCGCTTGAACCCAGGAGGCCGAGGTTGCAGTGAGCTGAGATCGTGCCACTGCACTGCAGCCTGGGTGACAGCGCAAGACTCTGTCTTAAAAAAAAAAAAAAAATCCTAGCGCATCTGCTTCCTAGTTGTCTGAACTAATCTCTCCTGTGTAAAAGTAGGGATTATAATGCTTACTGTATCTGGTAGCGTGCTTTCAGCGGCAACTAACGGAAAAGCCAACTCAAATGAGTTTAACCAAAAAGGAAATGTATTGGCCTATGTAACTGGAAGTTCACAGATGGGACAGGCTGATTGAACCCTGGTGTCAAGGACCTAGGTTCTTTCTGCATCTCTGCTTTCCATCCTCAGTGTCAGCTGCCTTTTAAGCCTGGCTCCCTTCATAGTCAGAATGGCTGCCACAAAGACACAGGGCCACTCCCTTAACCACAAACTAATAACTGACATCAAGGGAATGCTATGTGCTGATTGGCTTGAGCCTAGATTCCTAAGTCAATCACGAGTAAGAAATAAAAATGAAATTCCAAGCCCCTAACTGACTGAACAGACCCCTTCTTGGCCAAGGGAATCTTGCAAGCTGAATTCACGGCCATGAGGGGATGGGAGATTGGACACGCCTCATTATACCCCCTACCTCTATAACAGCTATTAGGTTTTCTTCCCTCAGGGCTAAACAGAAACCAGCCCTTTCAAAAGACTACTAGTTTATCTTTCCAGGTACAGAACAAAGACACCTTCACCCCTCCTCAGACATCTTCTTCCTCTATTCCCTTTTTCTTCAAATGTTCACCTTATCTTAGGAAAAATGAGCACCAACTAAAGTCTCACAAGTATGTAATCATTTGTCTCATGCCCTGCCCCACTTTCTTCAGGAAAATGTATAAATGCTAAACCTCCTGAGACCCTCTTTGGAAAAAACAGCCACAGATGCTTCTGTGACTCGCATTTTTCCTGGGCACTCCCTTTAAGCTGCCTTGCTAAACCGCAATGATTCGAGACTTATTCCTCCATCACTCATTTTCGTTGTCACTAGCAAGGAGGGATAGGATTACCGTGACTGGTACAGACACCTGTGGTTCCCAAACATGAGCACGCATCAGAATAACCTGAAGGATGTATCAGACCCCACAGATGATGGCCTCAGCTGGAGTTGTTTTTTTTGTTTTTTTTGTTTTTTTTTTTTTTTTTGAGGCGGAGTCTTGCTCTGTCGCCCAGGCTGGAGTGCAGTGGCATGATCTTGGCTCACTGTAACCTCCGCCTCCCAGGTTCAAGCCATTCTCCTGCCTCAGCCTCCAGAGTAGCTGGGATTACAGGCGCCTGCCACCATGCCTGGCTTTTTTAATTTTATTTTTATTTTATTTTTATTTTTTTTAGTAGAGATGGGGTTTCACCATGTTAGCCAGGATGGTCTCGATCTCCTGCACTTGTGATCCGCCTGCCTCAGCCTCCCAAAGTCCTGGGATTACAGGCATGAGTCACCACGCCCAGCTGGCCCGAGTTTTGAATTCAGTAGGTCCAGAGAAGGGCCCGAGAATTTGCCTAACAAGTTCTCAGGTGACAATGATGCTACCACACTTTGAGAGCTACTAGCATAAACTAATCAGGGGAACCTGTAGACTGGGGTCAGTTCCTCAAATGGCACAGCGAGGAAGCAGTAAAATTGATGTTGGAGAGTTAATTGTGAGCTTCAAAACCTTGTAGCAGGCTGGGCACAGTGGCTCACGCCTGTAATCCCAGCACATTGGGAGGCCGAGGCAGGCGGATCACTTGAGGTCAGGGGTTCAAGACCAGCCTGGCCAACATGGTGAAACCCTGGCTCTACTAAAAATACAGAAAAATTTAGCCGGGTGTGGTGGCACACACCTGTAATCCCAGCTACTCAGGAGGCTGAGGCAGGAGAATCACTTGAACTCGGGAGGCGGAGGTTGCAGTGAGCTGAGATTGCGCCACTGCACTCTAGCCTGGGCAACAGAGCAAGACTCCATCTCAAAAAAAAAACAAAGAAAAGAAAAAAAACAGGCCGGGTGCGGTGGCTCACGCCTGTAATCCCAGCACTTTGGGAGGCCGAGGCAGGCGGATCACAAGGTCAGAAATTCGAGACCAGCCTTGCCAACATGGTGAAACCCTGTCTCTACTAAAAATACAAAAATTAGCTGGGCATGGTGGCACACACCTGTACTGAGGCAGGAGAATTGCTTGAACCCAGGAGGCAGAGGTTGCAGTGAGCTGAGATCGTGCCACTGCACTTCAGCCTGGGTGACAGAGCAAGGCTATGTCTTGGAAAAACAAAACAAAACAACAACGAAAAACCTTGTAGCATAAATACGGGATTGTTTCAGTTGCATATTGCTGTGTAACAAAATACCCCCAAACTTAGTGACTTAAAATAGCAATTTTTTACTATTTCTGATGATTCTGTGTGTTGGCCGGGCCCAGTTGGGCTGTTTTCACTTGGGGTCTCACATGTAGCTATTCTCAGAAGTTGGGTGGGCCCCAAACCATCCACAAGCTACAAGGAGCTGGATGTCCAAGATGGCTTCTACATTCACACATCTGGCTAGAATAGCTGAGGGCTGGCCAGGCATCTCTTTCTCCACTCAGCTACTCCACATGGCTAGCTTGAGCTTCCTTACAACATGGTGGTTTCAGGATAATTGGATTTTGTATTTAGCAGTTGACTTTCTCAGAATGAGCATCCTAAGGGACCAAGGCAGAAGCTGTAAGGCCTGATTTAGCCTTGCAAAGGCCACACGGTACCACTTCTGCCTCATTCTGTTGATTACGAAAGAGTCACAGGGCCCACTCAGATTGAAGGGAAAGCCCCCACAGAAGGGCATGAATATGCAGAGGCAAGGGCTATAGGAAGCCATCTTGGAAATTAGCTTCTGCAGGGATTAAAGGAGATCATTCATGTGGAGTCCTGAGTAAGAACGAAAGTAACGTATTTACCACAAGTAAGTGCTCAGGAAATTAGCATTATTATTATTATTGCTGTTCTTTTCAGGGGAATTTGCCTATTATACTTTATCTGTTATTGAGGAATTTAAGGTTTTCTCAACTAGAAAAGGATTTTCAGGCACTAGCCAGAAGGTGAGGCAGTATTTTCTTAAGAGTGATCTTGTCAGTATCCTCAAAACTGTATAAACAACTATTTCTTTGACCAGGAGTAAGACCTGTATTTTCAAGTATATCAGCCTATGCAGTGGAAATGTTTCTTTTCTATTGGTTTCCATGTGGCTCCTACATTAGAATTTGGCTTTTGATGAGACATTTTTATTCAGACTCTTATAGATGAGCTAATTTTACTAATAATTATGACAGTGCTTTTAATACTGCTATATTATTAATACATCAGTATTTAGATAAAAGATAGTTCTCAAATGTCCTGTTGCACATTTCAGTTCTGGAAAATTTCTAGAACAACAATTTATCAAGACACTATCACTCCCATTCAGCCATCTCTATTCTGAGGACAAATACACCTTGCAAATTTGCATAATATCATGCATCACTTAGTTTCAGAATGGTCTCATACATAGAATGATTTTTCTTAATTTATTTCTGCCAAATGTGTGTGTGTGTTTGTGTGTGTGTGTGTGTGTGTGTGTGTGTCTTAGCTACTGGTGGTTTTTATTTTCCTTTCCCTTAGAGTGTGAAAGAGAGTTGTTTTTTTATTTAACCTCTTGATCAAGGAAAACTTGAGGGGCTTTCCTTTTCTGCATGTTGTTGGGGGTCGGGGAGGAGCAGGTGTAAGCTGTAAGAAAAATCTGCTGGTCCAGAGGGAAAAAAACAAGGAGCGCCTGAGGAGCCAGGGTGTTCTGTCTGTTCGCTAATGTACCCATGCAGCCCTGCCAAGCTCTGATGTGTTTAGACTTGAGCTTCAAGGGGGAGATTGCACAAAAGCAAGTTCCTGGGATTTGTTCTGCAGTCTGAGTAGGCTGGGGTGTTCTCACTGAGCTATTTCTGTATAAAAAGCTGTCTGGAACCATCTGAGAAGCCACTAACCACTGTGGTTTACTGGAATATGCCTTCTATTCACTCTCTGTTGCATCATTTCCCCTCCATTTTATGCTCAAAAGAACGACTGTGTGTGTCCATGTATACATCCATGTGCGTGTGAGTTCCAGAGTTGCGTTGCCATGGAGTTATTTGGAAAAGGCATCTTGTGAACCACTTGAACTGAACATACAAAAATGCATCTCAAAAATCAAAGCTGCTCTTATATGCATAGACTCTTTCTGGAAGGATACACAAAAAAATTCATAACAGTAGTTGCCTGGGGGGATGGGAACTGCAGGGGGGAATGCTGTGAGGGGGGTATACTCTTCACTGTGCACTGCTTAATTTTTTTTATCATGAGCATGTAATAGATTTTTTAAAAATGAAAACTGGGCCAGGCGTGGTGGCTCACGCCTGTAATCCCAGCACTTTGGGGGGCTGAGGCAGGCGGATCACCTGGGGTCAGGAGTTCAAGACCAGCCTGACCACCATGGTGAAACCCCGTCTCTATTAAAAATACAAAAATTAGCCGGGCCTGTTGTCGGGCGCCTGTAATCCCAGCTACTCAGGAGGCTGAGACAGGAGAATCGCTTGAACCCAGGAGGTGGAGGTTGCAGTGAGCTGAGATCACGCCCATTGCACTACAGCCTGGGAACAAGAGTGAAACTCTGTCTCAAAAAAAAAAAAAAAGAAAGAAAGAGAGAAAGAGAAAGAAAGAAAGAAAGAAAGAAAGAAAGAAAGAAAGAAAGGAAAGAAAGAAAGAAAGAAAGAAAGAAAGAAAGAAAGAGAAAGAAAGAAAGAAAATGGATGTTTAAATACTAAGGCTCCTCTTGGGAAATATTCCCTGACTCAAATATCTCTCTTGACTCCTGCACCCAACTCCCCAGGAGGAAATTGGGAATCTCTGAACAATCCGTGGGCTGAATACGAAGGAATCTGCCTGGCTTCTTGGATACACACTTCATACTCTCAAGGACAGCCCTCTTTATTGGAATGCACAAAGTATGTGGAAAAGAGATACCATGTCTTGTCGGATTCAATTTTGCTCCTAACATAGTGTGGATTAAAGAGTAATCAATAGTGACTTTAAGCACATTCTTTCCGGCAGTATCACAGAGAAAATGCAGCTGGTAGTGAATGTACCAGCCTGCTGATTGCAGGGAGCTAAACATGTGTATTGTATCTCCAGATGCCTGACACTACCTGCCAAGCCAACATGAAGCACCCACCCAGGTTGGACCAGGAAGCTTCCTACCTGGTCACGTAGGAAAAGACTAAACACATTCATAACGTGTCTATACAGGTATTGATTCTCCAAGAGATGATGGATCAGGCTTCAGAAAGAGTGGTGACCTTATTGTATGTTTCTGTATTATCTTTGCTGAGCTAATGGCCCACTTCCAGACCAAGAGCACAAATTACAAATGAATGCCCCCAACAGCAGTTCCTTTTCCATCTTTACTATACGGGGAGCCCACTAAAATAAAGGCTGTCAATGCAGCATCTCTCATTGACAGTCTGTTCATTGTGGGCTAACTGGATTGTACTGGACAGAGTTCTATTCACTGGAAATCATTAGCCAACTCCAGAGGGAGGAAAACGGAATAAAAAGGAAAAACATTGCCCATCACGAAAATAACTCGAGAATTGTGCAATCTGGCAACATTGGTCATCTGTGTTGAACTTGCTTTCAGCACTCTGTTAAGTGTACTGTACCACACCCTACCTCTGAAGCGATTACTCCCTTCCTTTTGAATAGCAAAGTAATGGGAACTGGAAAAACTTCTGTGAATTTGGCAAGGTTTAGTATAAATGTTTCCATTAAATCTGGGCAAGGCATGGATGGGGGAGGGAAACGCATCCACCGATTATGCTTTTGTGCTACCTCTTGGTTGAGGGTTACCTTTCAGAGGTGAAGCCAAACTTTTCCCATCCTTGAGATCATGCCTAGACCTAGTATACTTGGCTGACAATATGATTTTGCTACACAGCTTATATATCGTTCACATATGTTTGGAATTATCATGGAACTTCATGTTGTACTGAAAGGTTTCCCACAGCAAATTCTTTTGCACATAGAGCTACCTAGTGTCAGAGTTTCTTCCTAAGGACACCACACTTTTCCATTTAACACAACAGGGCAGGTGCTTCAGAGGATTTCAGTTCAGTCGGGAGAAATTTACTGACTGTTTTCATACATGTTCATGTCTTGTTGCACAGCCACTCTGCGAGGCTGACATCATTGACTTAACTTTACCAGGGAGTAAGCCATTGCTCAGGGAAGTGAGTGACCTGCCAAGGCTGCCCCACTGGTACATGCCAGAGCTGGGACTCACACCCAGGTCGTTCTGGCTCTTATGGGAGCTTCCTCCCCTGCAGTAAAGCCCTCTTTGATGCTGAAGGTCAAGGTGTGGCTCATAGTTTGGACAGGGCTTTTAGGGAGCCTGGCCAGACCCTGGAGGGACGTTGATGAGAATGGGGACTTGGAGTGGGAGAGTTTCGGTAATCCACCACACAAGTGCACCTGGAGCCTGAGAGGTGGGGTTCCTCCAGCTTAAGGGCAGGTATGGAGGGACTAAGCCACAGGGTAGGACTTTAGAAAGACTGAGGAAAACACAGGTGGGCCTTTAGTTGTGGAGGATATAAAGGAAGCCATGATGGCATTGACACAGAATCAAAGGTATCAAAGGGGTCAAGATGAAAAGCTTCAAGGCGAAACTTTCATCACAGGGGCTATGGTGGTGAGCCAATTACTGGAATCAGGTCACAGCAAGACCAGCACCAGCCTGACTCGGTACTAAGCCTCTACTATGTGGCAGGCACTATTCTAGTTATTATGGAAGTAGCCATGAACAAAGTAGATCAAGTATCTGCCTTCGTGAAACTGGAGTATAGTGAGAGAAGATGAATAAACAAGGAAATATATATCTAATTAGGTTAAATACTATAGGGAAAAAAGCTGCATAATGGAGTTCGTCGTGCTGGTGACGGTGGTGGTGTTTGCTATTTTACATAAGGTAGTGAGGGAAGGCCACAGGCCATGGGACATTTGAGCAGAGACTTGAAGGAAGGGAGAGGGTAAACTTCCTGAATACCTGGGAGAAGAGCTTTGCGGGCGGAAGGAACACTTACCGCAGAAGCTTTGAGATCAAGGGTACTTGGGGTGTTTTGGTATAGCAAAGAGATCAGGTTCACAGGTCAGGGAAAGCAGTGTCTGAGATGATGGTTGGCACACATATGATGCTTACTAGGAAGTGCTCTTGGGATCAAACCATGGAAGGGAAAGAGGGGCAGGAAGCAAGACTGGGCAGAGGGGGATGAGCTGTGATGCAGTCTCAACTAAAGCCCCAGACAACCCCATGGGGATGTTGAAGATAGGATGGCCCTTCAGAGCTGCTCTGAGCTGGGGAGAGGGGACAGGCCTTTACACCTCCAAACCATTCAGCCACTGGATACTGGCTACGTTGAGAAGGGAGTGAGATAGGGTGTTGAGGGGGACAGCGCTCTCCAGCCAAGGCCACCTCAGCATCCGAGGGGTGGCAGCCAGGAGCACGCCTCAGCTCCTGAAGGACGCTCTAGGCAGCACCTGCTGGTGGGATTGGAGCTTGAGCCAGGAGGCAGGGACAGAAGATGAGCTCAGGGAGGTGTCCAGGAGCCAGACTGGGGGAGCCACTGTGGGCCATGGTAAAGACATGGCCTTCTCTTCCTCATGAGGTGGGGAGCCATCGAAGGGTATGACAGAGGAATGCTAAAGTCTGGCTTCTGGGTTAACCTGATCACGCTGGCAGCTGTGTGGAATAGACCGCAGACGGGCGAGGGGGAAGCACGCAGGCTCACTAGGGGGTGCCTGTAGTCCTCCATGAAAAAGGAGACCAGTGTGTAGCTGGTGGCGGGTGTGAACAGTTGTTGGATTCTGGATATATTTTGAAGACAGAGCCAATAGGATTTGCTGATGAATTGGATTTGGGGTGTGAGAAGGAGAAAAAAATGAGGACAACACCAGTGTCTCTCTGGAGTAACTAAAAGGCTGGTGTCACCATTTACTGACACGGGGAAGCTTGTGTATGGGTTTCCTATTGCCACCATAACAAACTATCACAACCTTAGTGGCTTAAAACAACACTAGTATGCTCTCTTACAGTCCTGGAGGTCAGAAGCCTAAAGTCAAGGGGTTGAGTCTGGGTGTGGTGGCTTGGTTTGTGCCTGTAATCCCAGCACTGTGGGAGGCCAAGGCAGGTGGATCACCTGAGATCACCTGAGGTCAAGACAAGCCTGCCAACATGGTGAAACCCTGTCTCTACAAAAAATACAAAAAAAAAAAAATTAGCTAGGTGTGGTGGAGCAGGCCTATAATTGAACCTGGGAGGTGGAGGTTGCAGTGAGCTGAGATCATGCCAGTACACTGCAGCCTGGGCAACAGAGGGAGACTGTGTCTCAAAAATAAATAAATAAATAAATAAACAAATAAATAAATAAATGATAAAGTCGAGGGGTTGGCAGGGCTGTGTTCCTTCTGGAGGCTTCAAGGGAGAATCCATTTCCTTGTCTTTTCCAGCATCTAGAGGCTGCCTGCATCTCCTGGCTCATGGCCTCTTCTCCATCTTCAGAGTACGTCATTCCAGCCTCTGGTTCAGCTGTCACATCTCCTTTCTCTTTCTGACTCTGATCCTCCTCCCTCTCTCTTATAAGGACCCTTGTGATGACATTGGTCCCTCCCACATAATCCAGCAGCATCTCCTCATTCTCAAGATCTTTAATTTTCTCACATCTGCAAAGTCCCTTTTGCCCTGTATGGTAGCATGCACAAGTTCTGGGGATTCGGATGTGGACATCTTTGGGAAGCCGTTATTCACACTTTGGAAAGAGCCTGTTTTGCAAGGTAGAATCTGACTTTCATTGTGGACATGTTAAATTTGAGATGCCTTGTTAAATGTTCAGGTGGAGATGTCAAGTCAGCAGTTGGATACGATATGAGTCTGGCATTCAGAAGAGCAGTCCCAGCTGAAATATGAATTTGGTAGTTTTCACAATATACAGAAGTGCCCTCTTATCTGTGGGGGATACTTTCCAAGACCCTCAGTGGGTCTGTGGGCCTGAAACCTCAGATATTACCAAACCCTATATACTGTGTTTTTGCCCATAGATACATAATCATGATACAGTTTAATTTACAAATTAGGCACAGTAAGAAATTAACAGTAACTGGTAATAAACTAGAACAATTAAAACAGTCTACTGTAATAAAAGTTATGTGAATGTAGTCTCTTTTCTCCTCCCTGCCTCTCTCTCTCCCAAAATATCTTTTTTTTTTTTGAGACCTAGTCTTGCTCTGTCACCTAGGCTGGAATGCAGTGGCACCATTTCGGCTCACTGCAACCTGGACCTCCCAGGTTCAAGCGATTCTCCTGCCTCAGCCTCCCAAGTAGCTGGGACTACAGGCACGTGCCACCATGCCTGGCTAATTTTTTCTTTTTCTTTTTTTTTCTTCTCTTTCAAGACAGAGTGTCGCTCTATCACCCAGTCTGGAGTGCAATGGTGTGACCTCCGCTCACTGCAACTTCTGCCTCCTGGGTTCAAGCAATTCTCCTGCCTCAGCCACTTGAGTAGCTGGGATTACAGGCCCCTGCCACCACACCTGGCTAATTTTTGTAGTTTTAGTAGAGATGGGGTTTCACCATCTTGGCCAGGCTGGTCTCAAACTCCTGACTTCATGATCCATCCACCTTCGCCTCCCAAAGTGCTGGGATTACAGGTGTGAGCCACCGCGTCCAGCCTAATTTTTGTATTTTTAGTAGAGATGGGGTTTCACTCTGTTGGCCAGGCTGGTCTCGACCTTAAGTGATCTGCCCTCCTCGGCCTCCCAAAATGCTGGGATTACAGGCATGAGCCACTGTGCCTGGCCCCAAAATATCTTATAGTTTGGGACCACAGGTGACCATGGGTAACTGGAACCAAGAAAAGTAAAACTGCGGAGAAGAGGGGACTACTGTATTTAAAGCCACATGACTAAATGATGCCAGCTAGGGAGTTGCTGTACAGTGAGGAGAGAAGTCTGAAGATTGGGCCCTGGAATATTCCAGTGGTTGGGGATTAGGGAGAGAAAGATCCAGGAAAGAGTGTGAGGGAGTGGGGAGAAGTTGAGAGAATGCTGGTCCAGAGGCCAAGGACAGGGAGACAGCAGAGAGAGTAACAAGCTCCATAGGAACAGGAGGACTGAGCAGTGCCCACTGGATTTGGCTGGTGACCTTGACAAAGGCAGTAGATCTCCTGTTTGAGAGGAGGAAGAGGGGTGACAGCCTGATTAAAATGGGCTCAAGGCCAAGTACTGTGGCTCATACCTGTAATTCCAGCACGTTGAGAGGCCGAGGCAGGTGAATCACTCGAGGTCAGGAGTTTGAGACCAGCCTGGCCAACGTGGTGAAACCCCATCTCTACTAAAAATACAAAAATTAGACCAGGCACGGTGGCTCACGCCTGTAATCCCAGCACTTTGGGAGGCTGAGGCAGGCGGATCATGAGGTCAGGAGATCGAGACCATCCTAGTCAACTTGGTGAAACCCCATCTCTACTAAAAATACAAAAATTAGCTGGGCGTGGTGGCGCATGCCTGTAGTCCCAGCTATTCGGGAAGCTGAGGCAGGAGAATCACTTGAACCCGGGAGGCAGAGGTTGCAGTGAGCTGAGATCACGCCACTGCACACCAGCCTGGCGACAGAGCGAGACTCCGTCTCAAAAAAAAAAAAAAGCCGGATGTGGTTGTGCACACCTGTAATCCCAGCTACTTGGGAGGCTGAGGCAGGAGAATCCCTTGAACTCGGGAAGCGGAGGTTGCAATGAGCCAAGATGGTGCCACTGCACTCCAGCCTGGGCAACAGAGCGAGACTCTGTCTCAAAAAACAAAGGGCTCAAGATATAATGGGAGGGGAAGGATTGGAGACAATCAGTGGAGACTACTTTCTGAAGAGCTTTGTTGGAAAAAGGAGTGAAGAGATGGGGCAGTAGCTAGCGTAGACTTGGGAGCAAGAGAAGACCAGTGAGTGCAGGGCATTCCAAGGGCAGCTCCGATTCCAGAATCTGGGCCAAATGGAATCTACGGGTGGGCACAAAGGGGTCCACCTGAAGGTTAGAAATGAGATGGTTCCAGGGGGAGAGGCCTAGCAAGTCCTGGTGTGGGGGGTGGAGGAAGGCAAAAGAGCAATACAGATGTGCTTCTCCTTATCCAGTGAATGTCTCCCTACAGATGCTGAAAGCCTGAACAGGAACTGAGTTTTTTGAAAATTTGATCTGATTTTAACTACACTGGGAAAATTATTTAAAGGAAACTACTAGTGATTTTTAAGGTGAAAAAATACTCTCCAAATAGAATTATGCTATAAGAATTTCCATGTATCAGTTTTTCCAAAACCTGAGTACACTTATAAGTACATATTTTAGTTCTCTAGTCCATCTAGTACAAAACTAAATATATAAGATTTTCTTCAAATCATTGTAAACTTTTTTTTAATGGAGACATCACAATATGACTGTGAGATTATAGAATGGTATGGTTTTAGTTTTGAAAAGCTAAAACACGGAGCAGGAAAGTTATTTTCCAGATGCCACTGAATAAGTGCCCAGCCAAGCCTGGCAATGAATCAAGAGAACAGGAATTCAGGGCCAGAAGGCCTGACACCCTCAGGACCCAAGGGAGATACACGTCAGGTGCCATAAAAAATGGTTTCAAGGCTCTGGGGAGGGCTCTAAGAAATTAAAGAATCAGAATCAAGATTCTTTAATTAAACAAGATCCCCAACACACAAATAGCAGCATGGGGCAGGGAAGGGAGGATGTGCACACACCAAAATGCCTGCAGAGAGGATGGTGCGTAACAGCTTTGGCTTACACTGAGGAGAAGGTATCCTTCCTGTGCTTGGAGATTCAAGACTGTACGGTGTCATCTTGAAAATGACATCTTCAGGATAAGCAAGCCAGCCCAGGGCCTTTGCACATACTGTTTCCTCTGAGCCACTCAGCCCTTCCTTCCACCCCAGCTAAATCTCACTCAACCTTCAGGTCTCACCTGAAATTTCACTTGGTGAAATTTTTTTTCTGAGCCTTTTCTGAACCCCCAGGCTGCCTCATTCCATCTTAATTCAGTTGTGGGACCTACTAATTAGAAACCCACAAATATTTCCTCTGGAATAACCTTAGAATCCAAATTTTAAAATAAAAAAAAAAGTATGTAAGCATCTCATTAAATAAGGTGTCACTGAGGCCAGTATAAATATTTTGAGAGCTAGGCCAAAGGTGTGGATACTAAAGCCTATTGGTAATAGAAGGTTCTGGGCCCTTCCAGGTCCTCTGTGACTAAGGTCTGTAATGTTTCTGCCTGAATAGAGAATGCAGAGCCTGCTCCCTCCCGTCCTCTCGGTTCTGCTCACCATCACTGGAGATCCCATTCCTGAGCACTCTATATGAAACAGCAAATCACCCAGGACACACGGTCTCCATCCTCTTACATTGCTTATTTTTCTCCATAGTCTCCCAGGACATTTTTACATGTTTGTTTGTTTATTGGGCTGACCCCCTCCTTTCCGTAAAGGAAATAGTTTGTCTTGTTCACTATTATATCCCCAGAATCTGGAAGAATGCCTGGTGAGTACTAGGTGCTTGGTAATATCTGTTGAATGAAACAATGAATGAGGCCGGGCACAGTGGCTCACACCTGTAATCCCAGCACTTTGGGAGACCGAGGCAGGTGGATCACCTGAGGTCAGGAGTTCGTGACCAGCCTGGCCAACATGGCAAAACCCCATCTGTACTAAAAATACAAAAATCAGCCGGGCGTGGTGGCGCATGCCTGTAGGCATGCGCCATGTAGTCCCAACTACTCAGGTTGAGGCAGGAGAATTGCTTGAACCCAGGGGGCGGAGGTTGCAGGGAGCTGAGAACGTGCCACTGCACTCCAGCCTGAGCAACAGAGCAAAACTCCGTCTCGAAAAAAAAAAGAATGAATGAGTTGGTCAATCAATGTCAGACGACGGGGAGAGCAGGCTGCCAGGGTACACCCATGGCCTGTCACAGCCTGGCCCAGGTACCTCCAGGCCTACAGGTAGAGAAACTCCTCCTCATTTCACCCAACCTTCTTTCATTTCTCTTTCTGTAGCACAGATGTGATCTCCTGGCTTCTCTTGTTTCTTGGTTTGGGTGAACCTGTGGTCCCAGTTCTCCTCTCACCTTGTTCTGGTCTGATTTCCTGGTGTCTTTTGGATTAAAACAAGCCCCTAACAGCCTGTTCACACACTGCGGCCTCCGGACGCTCTCCTCCGGTTCTGGCTGCTCATGTGAGCATCAGCACCTACTGCTCTATGGGATAACAAATTTCAGTAGCACCACATACAATTCCTTAGAAGATGCCTTCCTGCTTTCTATTAATCTTGGGGGAAATGTCTTATGGAAACACCTCCCTCTCCAAAGTAAATAGTGATCACCAAAGGTTTTCTTGCAGATGAATGTCCAAATAATCACTTCTCTTTGAGAAGCACTTCGATTTGTATAGAGATCACCCCTAAAACTTCCCATTGCTTCATGGAGACTTTCCTGGGTAGGATTTTAACTGCCATATTTGGATGAGGTTTTGACCAAAGCAACAACGAAGATACAGGAAGACTTCACAAGGTCCCACATCATTTACGATTTCAAATATTTGGCTGGAGAGGGGAAGAACAAGAGAAAGAGAAAACAGGAGGAGAGGGTGTTCCCTCTGAGGCTGCACTGTCAATGCTATTTGTATACCTCACCATAATGAAGACAACATGCAGTCCATGTGTCTTCATAAGAATGACCTGCTCCAGCTGGGCGCGGTGGCTCACGCCTGTAATCCCAGCACTTTAGGAGGCTGTGGCGGGCAGATCATGAGGTTAGGAGATCAAGACCATCCTGGCTAACATGGTGAAACCCTGTCTCTGTTAACAATACAAAAAATTAGCCAGGCGTGGTGGCACGCGCCTATAATCCCAGCTACTCAGAAGGCTGAAGCTGGTGAATCGCTTCAACCTGGGAGGCGGAGGTTGCAGTGAGCCAAGATTGTGCCACTGCACTCCAGCCTGGGTGACAGAGTGAGACTCTATCTCAAAAAAAAAAAAAAAAAAAATGTTAACAGTGGAGCTTTAGGTAGGCAAGTGTAAACTGTAGAATAGATATTTTTGTAGGACTTTACTGTTTGCTTTATTTTTTTACTTTACTTTATTTTACTTTATTTTTGAGACAATCTCGCTCTGTCACCCAGGCTGGAGTGCCATGGCACCATCTCAGCTCACTGCAACCTCTGTCTCCCGGGTTCAAGCGATTCTCCTGCCTCAGCTTCCCAAGTAGCTGGGATTAGAGGCATGTGCCATCAGGCCTGGCTAATTTGTTTTGTATTTTTAGTAGAGACGGGTTTTCACCATGTTGGTCAGGCTGGCCTTGAACTTCTGACCTCAAGTGATCCACCCACCTCGGCCTCCCAAAGTCCTGTCTCCCGGATTCAAGCGATTCTCCCGCCTCAGCTTCCCAAGTAGCTGGGATTAGAGGCATAAGCTAAGGCCATACTTTACTGTTTAAAATTTGGCACATGGACCAGCAGCACTGAGATCCCCTGGGGGCTTAATGGAAATACAGAATCTCAGGTCTGCACCCCAGACCTACTAAATCAGAATGTGTATTTTGACAAGATCCCCAGGTGAGTTTGAGAAGTACTGGTCTAGGGAAGCACAAGATATTGGAATTGCCCATCCAATCTACGTGGAAAATGTGCTATTAGAAATTGGAGAGAGGGGGCTGGGTGCGGTGGGTGGCTCACGCCTGTAACTTCAGCACTTTGGGAGGCCAAGGGGGGCAGATCACTTGAGGTCAGGAGTTCGAGACAAGCCTGGCCAACATGGTGAAACCCTGTCTCTACTAAAAATACAAAAATCAGCCAGATGTGGTGGCACGTGCCTGTGCTCCCAGCTACTCAGGAGGCTGAGGCAGGAGTATCGCTTGAACCCTGGAGACAGAGGTTGCAGTGAGCCGAGACTGCACCATTGCACTCCAGCCTGGGCGACAGAGTGAGACTCCATTTCAAAAAAATAGAAACAGGAAGAAAAAGAAAAAGAAATTGGAGAGGGCAGATAGATGCAGGTAAAATTCCTACAGGTGGACCTGCATTTTCCTGCTCATTTCTGTTGCCCCTGCAACTTGTGAACACTGTTAAGCCCCTCTCTGCACCTTTACACACTCCTGGTCTAACACTGCCACACAGAAACACACCTCCACACACCATCAGCAGTGACTATCGTGAATCTACTTATCTATTTTTACATTTGTATGGTTAATTTGTAGTAAAGATGGATTCAAATAAATCTTTTGCTGATTGACTCCAATTTCATAATGAAGGAAATTAGTTCAGTTGCTCTATCATTCTAGAGAAATTCCCATTTTAGTTCATTAGGATTGTCCTCTCTGAGTTGGTCTAATCCAATTCTCTGCCAAGTGGTTAACCTTACATGAAGAAAATACACGATTTTAACTTCTTCATTTTACACATATATAGTGACATAAACTGGTCAATCTTCCCCACCCATATATCCATGGGAAAACTGGAAAAAATAATTATTAGAAATGGACACCATCATTCTAAAACAACAAAAGGATAAGCCATTTTTGTTTAAAATTTGTGTTTCAATTTTTGTTTAGAGTAGGCCAAGGTAGTAAATTATGCCTGGGAAATATATATACAAATCTTCTCTGGAAAACAGATTTTAAATCCAGGCCTCAACAAATTATAAGAGATAGATTTCCAAGGAATATGAGCTCACAATAAAAATATCTCAGAACATACAAGGAAATAAGCCATCATGCATGAAAGCCAGCAAACCCTGAATGACATTTTTTAATGAAAAAAGTATTGACAATAGATTCAGTGCAATCTCTATCAAAATCTAAGCATATTATTAAAAAGAAGTTGATAAGTTCACGCTAAAATCTCTGTGCAATTGCAAAAGACATAGAAAAGCCAAGACTACTACTTCTTCTTCTTTTTTTTTTTTTTTTGAGATGGAGTTTTGCTCTTCTTGCCCAGGCCGGAGTGCAATGGCATGATCTCGGCTCACCACAACCTCCGCCTCCTGGGTTCAAGCAATTCTCCTGCCTTAGCCTCCCAAGTAGGTGGGATTACAGGCATGCGCCACCACGCCTGGCTAATTTTGTATTTTTAGTAGAGACGGGGTTTCTCCATGTTGGTCAGGCTGGTCTTGAACTCCCAGCCTCAGATGATCTGCCCACCTTGGCTTCCCAAAGTGCTGGGATTACAGGCGTGAGCCACTGCGCCCGGCCAAGAATTTTTTTTAAAAAGAAGAATGAAGGTGGAGGAATTACACTAACTGAATTCAATACTAACTATAAAGCTACAGTAATTAAGCTAATATAATATTAGTGTAAGAACAGACAAATAGATTAATGGAACAGAGAGTTCAGAAGTAGATCCTCACATATATAGTCAATTGACTTTAGACAGAAGTGCCAAGGTAATTCAATGAGCAAAGGGTATCTTTTCAACAACATGCTGGAAAAACTGGATATCCATATGAAAAAACATGAGCCTTAACTTTTACTTCACACCATATGCAAAAATTAACTTGAAATAATCAAAGACCTACTTCTACAGGCTAAAATTATAACACTGCTATAAGAAAAAATAGGAAAAAATCTTCACAAGTTTGGGTTAGGCAGATTCCTTAGATGGGACACAAAGGCATGAAAAGAAGACATTGAGAAATTGAACTCCATCAAATTTTTAACTTCTAATCTTCATATAAGTCAGAAAGGACTGACAAAGGACTTCTATCCAGAATATATAAACAGCTTTTATAAATAAACAGTAAGAAGACAAAACCCCGAATTTTTTATGGGCAAAAGATATAAACAAATATTTTACAAAAGAAGATATAGAATTGTCCAATAAGTACATGAAAAATGCTTCACATTTTCATTTATCAGAGAAATGCAAATGAAAACTACAAGAAAATACCACTCCACAGCCACCAGAATGGCTAAGATTTTTTAAACTGACAGTTCCAAGTATTGGCCAGGATGAACATTGCTGATAGATGTACAAAACAGCACAACCAATTTGGAAAATAGTTTGGCAGTTTCTTCTAAGGTTACAATAACCGTACGACCCAGAAATTTCACTCCTAGCTGTTTACCCAAGACAAATGAAAACATGTCCACAAGAAGACTTGTACATAAATGCTTATAGCAGCTTTATTTATAATAGTGAAAACAAAACAGAAAATAACCAAAATATCTATTAGCAAGCAAATAGATAATGATGGTGTATCTATATATGTCAACATAATGGAACACTACTCAGCAATAAAAAGGAATAAACTACTGATGTACACAACCTGAATAAATTCAAAACATTGAATATATTTTTGTTTGTTTATTTTATTTATTTATTTATTTATTTTTGAGACAGAGTCTCACTCTGTTGCCCAGGCTGAGGTGCAGTGGCACAATCTCCGCTCATTGCAACCTCTGCCTCCCAGGCTCAAGCAATTCTCCTGCCTCAGTCTCCCATGTAGCTGGGATCACAGTCATGCACCACCACGCCCAGCTAATTTTTGTATTTTTAGTAAAGACGGGGTTTCACCATGTTGGCCAGGCTGATCTCGAACTCCTGACTTCAGGTGATCCGCCTGCCTTGGCCTCCCAAAATGCTGGGATTACAGGTGTGAGCCACCATGCCCAGCCCTCAATATATTTTTATTTCAAAAACATTATGTGAGATCAAAGGAGCAAACACCAAAGAGTATATAATGTATGATCCCATTTATATGAAACTTCAGAAAAGGGGAAAATCATCTATGACAACAGAAAGCAGATTCGAGGTTACCTGGGATCAGAGATAAAGATGGAAAAGAAATAGCAGAGAATTATTTTGCCAAGACAGAAACGTTGTAAATATTGATTATGACGGTGATTACATAAGAGTCTATACTTATCAAAATCCAAGAAACTGCATTCTTAAAATACAATGATGTTGAGTTTTACAAAACTGAAAGAAGGTACTGAAAACAGAAGGTTGAAAAAAAAATACAATGTCTGGAAATGAAATATATAATTATTTAAAATATTTATGGAGGATCTACTAGATGCGAGCAAGATGTTAGATGGTCCTGGAGTGTTAAAGAAGATAAAATGGCAGCAATAGAGTGGAAAAGGGTTGGGACTGAAAACCAGAATTGGGGCTCTTGCACAGTGGCTGTGTGACCTGGTCAGGTCACTTCTCCTCCATGGGCCTCGGCTGCCTCACCAATAACATGAGGGAGATGGCCTGGCTTGCACCCAGTCCTGATACACTCTATTTTCAAGTCCATTAGGAATTTACCTCCTTATAGCGTGACAGATTAGAAATGGAAAGATACATAGCTTAAGTCAGACAGATTTTAATTACGTTGTGCTTTAAAGAAATGAACATATTTGGCCGGGCACGGTGGCTCACGCCTGTAATCCCAGCACTTTGGGAGGCCGAAGCAGGCAGATCACCTGAGGTTAGGAGCTCGAGACCAGGCTGGCCAACATGGCAAAACTCCGTCTCTACTAAAAATACAAAAAATTAGCCAGGTGTGGTGGCGCTCGCCTGTAGTCCCAGCTACTCCGGAGGCTGAGGCAGAAGAATCCCTTGAGCCCGGAAGGCAGAGGTTGCAGTGAGCTGAGATCTGACTGGGCAACAGAGCAAGACTCCGTCTCAAAAAATAAATAAATAAATAAAAGAAATGAACATTTTTGCAAAGGTGTGCTTTAAAGAAATGAACATATTCGCATTCATAATAGTAACTGTCTTAAAGAAATCATGCCACTTTCTTTCAATTAACTTTTACTAAGCCCTCATTTCTATAGGTGTCTCCCCGACCTCCCCACCTCCACCCTCCCTCTCTCTCTGTTTTTATTTCTTGTGACTCAAAAGACTGTGTATTAACACACCCCCGAAACTCTCAGCGGTCACAGTGACCTACTTTCTAAATGTCAGTTCCAATACACGCTTTTTTTTTTTTTTTTTTTTGAGACGGAGTCTCGCTCTGTCGCCCAGGCTGGAGTGCAGTGGCGCGATCTCTGCTCACCACAAGCTCCGCCTCCCAGGTTCACGCCATTCTCCTGCCTCAGCGTCCCGAGTAGCTGGGACTACAGGCGCCCACCACCATGCACGGCTAATTTTTTCGTATTTTTAGTAGAGACAGGGTTTCACCGTGTTAGCCAGGATGGTCTCGATGTCCTGACCTCGTGATCCGCCCGCCTCGGCATTCTTAAATCTCCATCTTACCTGATTTCTGGGTCACATTCAACACTGTTAACCCCGCCAATCTCAGATAATTTGTAACTCTTCAATTCTGAGATGCTATTCTAGCTGAGTGTGCTCCCACCTCCCAGATGACTCCATCTCAGCCTCTTCTTTTTCTTTTCAACCCAAAAGTTCTTTGCAAGGAGCCAGATAGTAAATATTTTAGGTTTTGTGGGTCATGTGATCCCCTAAAGTATCAGATTCTTCTTCGTTTTTTGTTTATTGTTGTTGTTTTAAAACCTTTGGAATATAAAAGCCATTCTTAGCTGGGCAGCGGGAGTCCTCCCTTTACACTCTGCCAGTCCTTCCTGGCCCATTCCACCAACTGCCGCCCTCAAACACCCACCTGTAACCCAGGCCTTAAGAGTGATGTCCTTTAAGTTCCATCTCTCCATGATGGGGGTGTTAAGGGTGCCCCATTTTCTGCATTCCAGGAAAAAATCTGGTTGTACAAAAAGTAAGGGCCAAGTACATGAATAGATGATTCATAAAATAATGAATGTCAATGGCTTTTAAGCATATTAAAAGATTCTCTACCTCATACACAATAAATGAAAGGCAAGGTAAAACCACTAGATGTAGTTTTTCCATCTTGCAGAATAACAAAAATGAGAGTCTGATAACATAAGGTGTAGATGAAGAACTGGAAAAATAAGCATGGTCCTCTTTGGTGCTCAGTTTAGCAACATCTATTAAAACATAAGATATGGCCAGCATGGTGGCTCACGCCTGTAATCCCAGCACTTTGGGAGGCCGAGGCGGGTGGATCACGAGGTCAGGAGATCGAAACCATCTTGGCCAACATGGTGAAACCCCGTTTCTACTAAAACACAAAAAAATTAGCCGGGCTTGGTGGTGTGTGCCTGTAATCCCAGCTACTTGGGAGGCTGAGGCAGGGGAATCACTTGAATTTAGGAGGCGGAGGTTGCAGTGAGCTGAGATCACACCACTGCACTCCAGCCTGGCGACACAGCAAGACTCCGTCTCGAGAAACAAACACACACACAAACAAACACCATAAGATACACATATCTTCTAATCTAGCAGGTCCATTTCTAGATAGTTATATGAAAAAAGGAAGGATGGAGAATTATCTGCATATAAAATAGAGTGTTGAGTGGCTAAAGTGAGGCAGAAACTAGAGTGCTGTGTGTCATGGGTGAGAGAGAAACTTACTTTTTCACTGTGTGTATTTTCATATTGTTAGAATGTTTTTCGTATCATATTGTATTTTTACTTGCTCCCGCATTTTTTTTTGAGATGGAATTTCACTCTCGTTACCCAGGCTGGAGGGCAGTGGTGCGATCTCCGCTCACTGCAACCTCTGCCTCCCGTGTTCAAGCAATTCTCCTGCCTCAGCCTCCCAAGTAGCTGGGATTATAGGTGCCCACCGCCATGCCTGGCTAATTTTTTGTATTTTTAGTAGAGATGGGGTTTTGCCATGTTGGCCAGGCTGGTCTTGAACTCCTGACCTCAGGTGATCCACCTGCCTCGGCCTCCCAAAGTGCTGGGAGTACAGGTGTGAGCCACCACGCCCGGCTAAAATTGTTAACCTAAATGGATGGATAGTTAGCTAAGTAGATAGAACGACAGATAGATAGATACATACATACATAGCATCTTATAAGCAAAAAGGAATAGTTCAAGTAGGAGAGAACTTAAAAGTTGTCTAATCCAAGACCAATATTTGCTGATGAGGAAACTGAGCCCTAGACAGTTCTGTGGTATTCCTAAGATCTTGCTGTTACTAGCAGAAGTGAAACTTGATTCCAGGCCTCCTAACTCCCAGTCCAGCACTTGTGTCTCTACATCCCATCACGTCTCTTAGATGACCCCCTTAATGCAGGTAGTTCATCTCAAGCATTTGAACTCGATGAAGCAACACAGCCTTTTAGAGAAAAAATTATCTTCTTTTATTTCGAGACAGTCTTGCTCTGTCAGCCAGGCTAGACGGCAGTGCCATAACTTCAGCTTACTGCAGCCTTGACTTCCTGGGCTCAAGCGATCCTCTTGCCTCAGCCTCCCGAGTAGCTGGGAGTACAGGCAGGTGCCACCATGCCCCACTAATTTTTTTTTTTTTCCTGAGACAAAGTCTCCCAGGCTGGAGTGCAGTGGTGCGATCTCAACTCACTGCAACCTCTGCCGCCCGGGTTCAAGCGATCCTCATGCCTCAGCCTGCCAAGTAGCTGGGATTACAGGTGTGCGCCACCACTTCTGGCTAATTTTGTATTTTTAGTAGAAACGGGGTTTCAACATGTTAGCCAGGCTGGTCTCGAACTCCTTACCTCAAGTGATTTACCCACCTTGACCTCCCAAAGTCCTGGGATTACAGGTGTGAGCCACCGCACCCAGCCAACAAGACTTTTTTATTATCAGCCCTGTATATTGCCACTACACAAATTTCATATTCATCTATTTTGCCTTTTCCTTTTGAGTTTTTCTTCTTCTGGCTCTTTGTGTACATTTGGGATATTAAACCTTAATTAGAATATATGATGTAAATATTTTATAGACTGTCATATGTCTTTTAACAATTAACCATGTCTTTTGTTGCATATTTTTTAATGCAGTCTGTCCGTGTTTTTCTTGTGGTTTCTGGGTTGTGTATTTTTTAGAAAAGTTTTTGTTCAGGATTTCTCTTTTTCTTTAGAACTCCTTTGTGATTTTTTTCTTTTTCAGGATTTCTGATGTGCAAATATCTGGCTTTTCTGCTTAGAGCAGTCACTTCTGGGTTTGGGGCTCACCATGAGATTTTTGTTGATAGTAGCCTGGGACTCCTAAATGTTACCAAAGGCTTAAAAGGCTTATAAAACCCGGGGTACCCCGGGTCTTGAACTGTGTCTACAGTGCCGGATCCTGGGCATACCCAGCTGAGAACAGATCTCCACAGCTGAGAAAGAGAACATCCTTGGCCTTACGGTTAATTTAACACTTACTGAATTCACCACTCAGCAGCAGGGTTTAGGAATGGCTAGGCCATGGCCCTGCCTGGCTGGTGCTTACAGAGTAGCCAAAAAGAGATACATAAACAGATCATTTCAGTTTTTCTACTATGAGTGATTAACAGTCTAACCTAAAAGACTTAAACAACCTAGACCCAGTGGCTCACACCTGTAGTCCCACTGTGTTCGGAATTGGTGGGTTCTTGGTCTCACTGACTTCAAGAATTAAGCCGTGAACCCTCACGGTGACTGTTACAGTTCCTAAAGGCGGCGTCTTCGTAGTTTGTTCCTTTTGATGTTGGGATGTGTTCGGAGTATTTTCCTTCTGTGGGTTCGTGATCCCACTGCCTTCAGAAGCAAAAGTGCAGACCTTCACGGTGAGTGTTATAACTCTTAAGCTAGTGCTTACCGGGTTGCAGACAGTGTTATAGCCCATAAAAGCAGTGTGAACCCAAAGAAAGAACAGCCATGAGATTTACTACAGAGTGAAACAACAAAGCTTCCAAAAATCTTCCACAACATAAAAGTAAACCCGCGCTGTTACCACTGTGGGGGCTAGCTCGGGCAGCCTGCCTTTATTCCCTTATCTGGTCCCACCCACATCTTGTTGATTGGTCCATTTTACAGAGAGCCGATTGGTCTATTTTACAGAGAGCCGATTGGTCCGTTTACAATCCCTGAGCTAGACACAAAAGTTCTCCACATCCCCACTAGATTACCTAAATACAGGGTAGGTGGGTGTATTTACAAACCTTGAGCTAAACACACAGTGCTGATTGGTGTATTTACAATCCCTTAGCTGCACATAAAGGTTCTCCAAGTTCCCACTGGAATCAGGAACCCAGCTGGCTTCACCCAGTGGATCTCGCATCCCCGCCGCAGGTGGAGCTGCCTGCCAGTCCTGCATCCTGCGCCCGCACTTCTGAGTTTTTGGGCGGTCGGTGAGACCAGGCGCTGTGGAACAGGGGGCGGCGCTCGTCGGGGAGGCTCAGGCCGCGCAGGAGCCCATGGCGGGGGAAAGGGAGAGACTCAGGCGTGGCGGGCTGCAGGTCCCAAGTCCTGCCCCGCGGGGAGGCGGTTTAAGGCCCGGCGAGAAGTCGAGCGCAGTGCCGGTGGGCCAGCACTGCTGGGGGACCCAGTGCACCCTCCGCAGGTGCTGGCCCGAGTGCTAAGCCCCTCACACCCCGGCGGGGCCGGCAGGGCCGGCCGGCTGCTCCTAGTGCGGGGTCCGCCAAGCACACGCCCACCCGGAACTCCAGCTGGCCCGCAAGCGCGGCAGGCAGCCCCGGTTCCCGCCCGTGCTTCTCTCTCCACACCCTGCAAGCCCAGGGAGCCGGCTCCCGTCTCGCCCAGTCCAGAGAAGGGCTCCCACGGTGCAGCAGCGGGTTGAAGAGCTCCTGAAGCGCGGCCAGAATGGGCGCTGAGGCCGAGGAGGCACCGAGAGCGAACGAGGGCTGTGAGGGCTGCCAGCATGCTGTCATCTCTCACCAGCACCTTGGGAGGCTGAGGCAGGCGGATCACTTGAGGTCAGGAGTTCGAGACTAGGCTGGCCAACATGGCAAAAACTCTGTCTCTACTAAAAATACCAAAATTAGCCGGGTGTGGTGGGAGGCGCCTGTAATCTCAGCTACTTGGGAGGCTGAAGCAGGAGAATCTCTTGAACCCGGGAGGCAGAGGTTGTAGTAAGCCAAGATCGTAACATTGCACTTAAGCCAAGATGGCACCATTACACTCCAGCCCGGGCAACAAGAGGGAAACTCCACCTCCAAAAAAAAATTTTTTTAAAAATAAAAGTAGAGATATTAACTCGATTACAGAACTCCAGATTTTAAAAATTGCTCCAAAAATTATGATCTAAGATTCTATAACAGCCAAAGAATTACCTACTAAGTGAGACAAATAAAAATAGCATGGTGTGTAGAAAGCAGAGACTCGGACAGGAGTCACCTCCTTGGATTCTAACCTGGGTTGTGCCAGGTACAAGCCATGTGACCCAAAGTACTCCCTAGACTTCTGGCCTTGGTTCTTTCCTAGTTGACTTTCAGGATCTTGGGATAGGGGGAGTTTGATAAGGAGAGGGCATGGGAGAGCAGAGATGCATAAGGATTGTTCTGTTGTTTCATTTTGATTTTTAAATATCGCACTGAAGGCCCCCTGGCTCATGCCTGTAATCCCAGCGTTTTGGGAGGCCAAGAGGGGGCAGATCATTTGAGGTCAGGAGTTCAAGACCAACCTGGCCAACATGGCAAAATTCTGTCTTTACTAAAAAATACAAAAATTACCTGGGCATGGTGGCACAAGCCTGTAGTTTCAACTACTCAGGAGGCTGAGGCAGGAGAATCGCTTGAACCCCGTAGAAGGAGGTTGCAGTGAGCTGAGATCCTGCCACTGCACTCCAGCCTGGGTAACAGTGAGACTGCGTCTCACCACCAACAACAAAATCACACTGAAAAATCCTGCCTTTTCGATTAAACCCATATTTAGTTTACAAAGTGTTTTGTGATCTGATCCCTTATCTCACCTCTCTTGATTCCGTTTTTAGACAGGTCCTGTGTTCTCTCTTCCCTGTGAGACCTTTGCACGAGTTACTCTGTCCTCCTTCCCTGGCCTTCCCCCCATCACTTCTTTACCCACTGTTATAGGCTGAATTATGTCCCTAAAAAAAACCTTATGTTGAAGTCCTAACTCTCAGGACCTCCAAATGTGACCTTATTTGGAAATAGGGTCATTGCAGGTATAATTAGTTAGGATGAGGTCATACTGAAGCAGGGAGGCCTCTAATCCAATATGACCACTGTCTTTATGAAAAGGGGAAATTTGCACACAGATTGAGATGTAGGGAGAGAATGCCATGTGAAGACTGAAATTTTGCTGCCGCAAGCCAAGGAGTGCCAAGGATTGCTGGCAAACCACCAGACGCTAGGAGAGAGGCATAGAACAGATTCACACTTGCGCCCACAGAAGAAACCAACCCTGCCAACACCTTAGTCTTGGACTTCCAGCCTCCAGAACTGTGAGACAATATATTTATGTGGTTTAAACCACCCAGTCTGTGATACCTTGTCAAGGCATCTCTAACTAACTAACTCACCTAACTCCCCTTCACAACTTCCCTCAGGCATTACCCGGAGGCCTTTCTTGGCTCTCAAAGTCTGGATTATTCATCTTTCTTTCTTTTTCTTTTTTTTCAGATGGAGTCTTGCACTGTCGCCCAGACTGGAGTGCATGACACAATCTCAGCTCAATGCAATCTCCATCTCCCGTATTCAAGTGATTCTCCTGCCTCAGCCTCCAGAGTAGCTGGGACTACAGGTGCACGTCACCACACCCAGCTAATTTATATTCATATATATATATATATATATATATATATTTTTTTTTTTTTTTTTTTTTTTTTTTTAGTAGAGACGGGGTTTCACCATGTTGGCCAGGGTGGTCTCGATCTCTTGACCTTGTGATCCGCCTGCCTCTGCCTCCCAAAGTGCTGGGATTACAGGTGTGAGCCCCCGCGCCCAGCTGATTGTTCATCTTTCCCAGTGGCTCACACAGAAACCAAGCTCTTCTAAGACTTCAGGTGGGCCTATGATATGCCTGTGGACACCCCACCCCACATCATATTAGACATATTAAAATGTGTCCAAATCCTAAATTAAATATAATTTCGTGGTATAGTTTTGAAAGAATTTGCTTTATAACATTGCTTTGGGAATGGACTATGGGTAATTATTTTAAATTTATAATTATTTATATCAGTAATAATTCTATGTATCTGGTAATTGTAAAAATCTTTTTTTTTTTTTGGTTTTGGTTTTTGATTTTGTGTTTTTTTGAGACAGGGTCTTGCTCTGTTGCTCAGGTTTGAGTGTAATGGTACGATCATGGCTCACTGAAGCCTCAACCTCCTGGGTTCAAGCAATTCTCCCACCTCAGACTCCTGAGTACCTGAACTATCTAGGTGCATGCCACCATGCGTGGCTAATTTTTTATTATTCTTTTGTAGAGAGAAGTCTCTCTTTGTTGCCCAGGCTGGTCTTGAACTCTTGGGCTCAAGTGATTGTCCCGCCTCAACCTCCCTAAGACTGAGATTACAGGTGTAAGCCACCATGGCCTGTAGAAATCTTTTTTTTTTTTTTTTTTTTGAGATGGAATTTCGCTCTTGTCACCCAGGCTGGAGTGCAATGAGTGCAATGGTGTGATCTTGGCTAACTGTAACCTCCATCTCCGGGTTCAAGTGATTCTCCTGCCTCAGCCTCCCAAGTAGCTGGAATTACAGGCATCTGCCACCACACCTGGCTAATTTTTGTATTTTTAATAGAGACAAGGTTTTACCATGTTGGCCAGGCAGGTCTCAAACTCCTGACCTCAGGTGATCCACCCGCCTCAGCCTCCCAAAGTGCTGGGATTACAGGCGTGAGCCACCATGCCCAGCAGAAATCTTTTAATAATCTAGTTTACAAATTGTTTTCAGATGTAATAACTTTTATAAATACTAAATGTGGCTGTGCTCAGTGGCTTAGGCCTGTAATCCCAGCACTTGGGAGGCCAAGGCAGGTGGATCACCTGAGGTCAGGAGTTCGAGACCAGACTGGCCAACATGGTAAAACACTGTCTCTTAAAAATACAAAAATCAGCCAGGCATGGTGGCAGGCGCCTGTAATTCCAGCTACTCGAGAGGCTGAGGCAGGAGAATTGCTAGAACCCAGGAGGCAGAGGTTTCAGTGAGCCAAGATCATGCCACTGCACTCCAGCCTTGGCGACAGAAGGAGACTCCATCTCAATAAATAAATAAATACTAGATGAATTTGGAGGCGGTTGACATAGTGTTGCATTTTTACGTGATGTAGGCATTTAATTAAAGATTTATTTGATGTTTTCATATTTTTATATTTTGAATATTTATATATCATTTTTATATATAGTTCATTTTCTTTTTATATTTTGGATATGATATTTATATATCATTTATACATCTATCATTCTCTCCATTAAGGGTTTAGAATATATATATATATAATACACATATATATGTGTGTGTGTGTGTATATATATGTGTGTGTATATATATATATATATATATATATATATATATATATATATTTTTTTTTTTTTTTTAGGACTCAAATATTTTTATAGTTCCTGGTAAAGCTTGCAGGCCTTAAGCTCCTGCCAGTGGTGCCTAATGAATCAAACACACCCCAACATCCTGAGCTTATTTGTGTTGCAGGACATAGCATTTCTATGTTACAGTCATTACCTTGGGTTTCTTATCCAAATGTATAAATTTCTGGGGGAACAGTCAGTCTCTACCTTAATTCTCTTTATATCTTATGCAGCGCAATGTTTGCCATGCAGCTGGTGGGTGGTCCAGTAGTCTCATTTAATGAACAAATGAGCCCTTTTTGTTTTTGTTTTGTTTTTACAAATTCAACTTTAAAAAATTACTAAGTGTGGCAATAATTAATGCTTATACTTTAAAATAAAGAGCTAAACATGAAACAGATAAAACTGCAGGAAACAGTTAAAACTGCCGGGCACAGTGGCTCATGCCTGTAATCCCAGCACTTTGGGAGGCCGAGGCGGGCGGATCACCTGAAGTCGGGAGTTTGAGACCAGCCTGACCAACATGGAGAAACCCCATCTCTACCAAAAATACAAAATTAGCCAGGTTGGTGACACATGCCTGTAATCCGAGCTACTTGGGAGGCTGAGGCAGGAGAATCGCTTGAACCTGGGAGGTGGAGGTTGCGGTGAATCGAGATCGTGCAATTGCACTCCAACATGGGCAACATGAACTAAACTCAGTCTAAAAAAAAAAAAAAAAAAAAGAAACTGCAGGGGCAGGCTGGGTGCGGTGGCTCACACCTGTAATCCTAGCACTTTGGGAGGTTGAGGCGGGTGGATCACCTGAGGTCAGGAGTTTGAGACCAGCCTGGCCAACATGGCAAAGCCCTGTCTCTACTAAAAATACAAAAATTAGCCAGGTGTGGTGGTGGGCACCTGTAATCCCAGCTACTGAGGAGGCTGAGGCAGGAGAATCACTTTAACCCGGGAAGCGGAGGTTGCAGCAAGCCGAGACCGTGCCACTGCACTCCAGCCTGGGTGACACAGCAAGACTCCGTCTCAAAAATAAAAATAAAAATAAAAAATTACAGGGTGTATATATTTTTTTACATATGAGGACATTTATATTATGTCGTTATAAGGACAAAACCACATTTTACCTTAGAAGGACAAAACCATTGTCATTTTGCGATTCCTAAGGGATAGGAGCAGATGCTAATTGTTGGTAAGTGGTCTAAGTGGGCTTCCACCTCTCTTGGTCTTCCTTCTAGGCCTTGGTTCAAGAAAGTGAGTCTTGGATTAGGCCAAGCTAAGGGTTTAGAATAAATGCTAAAGAGCAAAGGCCAAGGAGGAGAAACACATGGACATCATAATGGTAAGAGCAGGGTCTGAAAAAAAGTAGGGATGTTGGGGAATGGAGGGTGAAGCAGAAGACAGTTGCCTATGCAATCGTAATGATGCTGATGAGATGATAAACAAGCAACAGCATGTGCTGAGAGTTACTAGTGCCAAAAGCAGTTGGGATGGGATTTGCATGCATTGCCTCTTTTTACTCTCATGACAGTTCTGTGATGTGTTATCATTCTCCCCATTATATGGAAAAAGAAATTGGGTTTAAAGAGATAAAGCTGAAGTTAAGGTGAAGGTCTTCCAGCTGATGATGGCAGAGCTGGGATTTGGAGTCTGTGTGGTTCCAGAGCCCACACTCTTAACTACCACCTTCTTCCCAGCAATTTGGTTACATATTTTTGTATTTTTAGTAGAGACGGGGTGTCACCATGTTGGCCAGGCTGATCTCAAACTCCTGACCTCAAGTGATCTGGCCGCCTCGGCCTCCCAAAGTGCTGGGATTACAGGCATGAGCCACTGTGCCCGGTCTCCTGAGCAATTTGTTCTCGTGTGTCTATTACTAGCTTATGGGGCCCTTGAAGGCAGAAATGTCCGCTTTGTCTTTATATTATAGGTTGCTTTTCTGACTGTTTAAATGGAAGAATATGAATATAATACAGTAATTGCTTATCATATCGATTTTTATTGAGGAAAGTGCATGATACCCTCCAAATTCATTTCTCTTGACGTTTATTACAATATTTATGTGAAAGCAAAAACTCCTTGAATCAATACCTATTCTGTTAACATTAAACACTTAAGCAGTGCTTATTCTGTTCCAGGCACAATTTCACTTGGGCTGTGTGTATTAACTCATTTAATCCTCTCAGGAACCCTCCAAGCAGAGGAGCAGCCCACAACCATGCAGGTTGTAAATGGTGCCCCCTAGAGTTGTGCAGTTCTCAACCTGCGCAACCACCACAACTACATGTTGTGACCCTGCTTGTGCCCCTTAATATGCTCATTTTACAGATGGAGAAACTGAGGCATGGAGCTGTTAAGTGAAACATTCTTACTTCAGAGTTTAATCAACCTCATGATCACTACATAATTATTATTCAAACCTTGGTAAAATAAAACCTCATTAATCCAGCTCAGTTGCAAGAATGGGTGTGGAAAGGTAGTAGACTTCACTACTTAAAGTGTACGAATTATAGAATTATTTGTAAGGAAATTTGTTCTAGTAGATTAAACTACATTTAACCAATTAGTTAAGTACTTCCAGACTGTCTACGGAGAAGCACTCTCATGTTCCTTTAGTAAATGTTGACGTCTGACTTACAATCACTAATAATGAATGTACTAAAATCCTTCAAATTAGAAAAGGATCTGGCTTTATTTAAGCAGTTAAATGTGTCCCCTTACAAGTCTATTAACTAGCATAACAATTTATTTACTAAACAATTTCTTAAATTAATTAAAGCCTTCACCATGTTCAAAATGAATGCATTATAATTCAGAATTGAGTTCAACTTGGCCGGGTGCGGTGGCTCACGCCTGTAATCCCAGCACTTTGGGAGGCCAAGGCGGGAGGATCACGAGGTCAAGAGATGGAGACCATCCTGGCTAACACGGTGAAGCCCCGTCTCTACTACAAATACAAAAACAAAATTAGCCGCGCGTGGTGGCGGGCGCCTGTAGTCCCAGCTATTCGGAAGGCTGAAGCAGGAGAATGACGTGAACCCGGAAGGCGGAGCTTGCAGTGAACCGAGATCACGCCACTGCACTCCAGCCTGGGCGACAGAGTGAGACTCCGTCTCAGAAACAAAAAACAACAAAAAAACAAAAAAAGAATTGAGTTCAACTTAATAAGGTTTTATTATATTGTAAAGGACTACATTAGGAAAGCTTTAGGCAGGAGCTCCAAGAGAAACACATTTCTAAACTCTGACAGAGTAACTCCTAAGCCAGTGATGACACAGGATGTGAACCTGGTTCATGGCCAATTTAACACAGATTTTTTGGTCTAGTTTCTAGAATACATTGCTCAGTTAAAAAACTTAAAAGGCCACAGAATTCCAAGTAAATTATTTTATGCATATATTAAACTTACTATAAAACTGGCGTTGTGTTGCATGGTGCTTTAGGCTTCAGTCTTCCCAGACTTTAATGTGCACAAGAATCATCTGGGGATAGTTACCCTGCAGATTCTTATTCAGTAGGTCTGGGGCACAGCCAGAGAATCCACATCTCTAAAATGCTCCCAGGGAAGCTGATGCTGAAGGTTTTGGAACTCAGATTTTGGGGGCCAGATAGTTGGATTTGCGTCAAAATTGTAGCTCGGTCAGGCACGGTGGCCCACGCCTGTAATCCCAGCACTTAGGGAGGCTGAGGCGGGTGGATCACGAGGTCAGGAGTTCGAGACCAGCCTGGCCAATATGGTGAAACCCCATCCCTACTAAAAATACAAAAACATTAGCTGGGTGTGGTGGCAGGGGCCTGTAATCTCAGCTACTCGGGAGGCAGAGGCAGGAGAATCACTGGGACCCAGGAGGCAGAGATTGCAGTGAGCCGAGATCGTCTCACTGCACTGCAGCCTAGGCAACAGAGTGAGACTTCATCTCAAAAAAAACAAAAAAAAAAAACAAAAAAAAAAACTAGCTTTACTGCATATTAGATCTGTGACCTGGGGCAAGGTTCTTAACCTCTCTGTGCCTTAGTTTCCTCATCTGCAAAATGGAGTCATGGTAACAATATATACATCATAGGTGTGTTGTGAAGATTAGATCAGTTAATGAATGTAAAGAAATTCAAGCAGAAAAAAAAACAAAACTGGCGTTATACTACACATACGATTGCAGCTTGCTTTTTTCATTTAGCTGTATATCTTGGGCATCTTTCCATGTCAGTAGAATAAAATCTACCCCATTCCCTCTAACAGCTACATAGAATTCCACAAGTGGATGTATCTTAATTTGCTTCATTCCAATGATTTTTTTTCTCTTTTTAAAAATTATGGTAAAACATATATGACATAAAATTTTACTATTTTATTTTATTTGAGATAGGATCTCACTGTGTCCACCAGGCTGGAGTATAGTGGTGTGAACATGGCTCACTGCAGCCTTGACCTCTTGGGCACAAGCCATCTTCCTGCCTCAGCCTCCTGTGTAGTTGGGACCACAGGTGCATGCCACCACACCTGGCTAGTTCTTTAATTTTTTTTGTAGAGACAGGGTCTCACTATATTGCCCAGACTGGCACTGAAATCCTGGGCTCAAGTAATCCTCCTGCCTCAGCCTCCCAAAATGCTGAAATTACAGGCATGAGCTACCATGACCAGCCCAAAATTTGCCATTTTCAACATTTTTAAGTGTACAATTCAGTGGTATTAAGTACGTTGGCATGGTTATGCAACCATCATCACTATCTCTAGAACTTTTTCACCATCCCAGACACAAACTCTGTACCCTATAAACAATGCCTCCTCATTCTCCAATCCCTTGGGACCCTTTATTTGATTCTGTGTCCCTATAAATTTTCCTAGTCTAGGTTCCTCATATAAGTGGAATTATACAGTATTTGTCCTTTTGTGCCTCTGATGGATTTCGAAGGACATGTTTTCTCAATCTGCCTTCCTGTAGAATCTATGCTCTGAATTTTGAACAGTCTGAGGAGCTGGCTGTTACCCTCTCCTTGGCCTGAACAGGAATTAGGTCTGAGGTGGTGGCCTTCTATGACGTGCAAGCTCTGTAGGCTTCTGACTGTGTAATTAACAAAAGCAATCATCACTTTCATTCCCTGCGCACCTACTGCAGGCCAGCACTGTACCGCACACTGCTCTGTGAACTTGGAAGAATGGCCCCCGTTTTACAGATACAAACACTGAAAATCAGAGAGGCAAAATGACCTTTTTGCTTTTACTAGTTAGGGACAGAAGTGGGTTCTAGTTAGGTCTGACTCCAAAGCCCCTGCTGTTTCACTACCTAGTAGTCTGGCAAAGGAAAATGCAATCATTTCCAGTATTTTTTTTAAAACAACATTCTGATTAGTACAGGTGGAACTTAAACTAAGCACCCGGAAAATTGAAAATGCAGATACATAGCCAAAATAACTGAGGTATTTGCTAAACAAAGGAATCATCACAGAACCTCTCTTGAGCACAAAAGCTTCTCATTTGTTACTTAGTTTCTCAGATAGGGGCATTTTCAACCGCTTGTGTGTTTGAGAGTAGATTTACACTGCGCACTCTTGTCCAGCCTCGTTTTAACAGTCTCATCCGCATCACAAGAGTACGTTGATTCAGGATGGTAGTTAAGCAAACAAAGGACTTCAGCAAACAGTTCTTTATGAGCTAGCCCTATCCTAAAAAAAAAAAAAAAAAAAAAAAAGCCCTATCCTAAAGCAGTCATTCCCCTCAGTGCTCCACAAGGAACAAGAATGCTCAGAGGCAACCTCTGAGTGATCCCTGACATATGGAACAAAAGTCAAAATGCTAGTTTGATTTCTTAAGATACTCCCTGGGCAACTAAACGAGCGTGCATATGTGTGTGTGTGTGTGTGTGTGTGTGTGTGTACATGTGTATCCAGTTACTTATGGAACTAGACTCAACTATTCTACTTGATGGGAAAATCCTCTGAACATGGCTATAACTATCACATCTAAAAATTCCCTTCCTCTCTCCTGCAAGGTGTCTTTTGTCTCTTGTTTTTGCCAAAAAGAAAGAGCGCGGTCTATGTTTTGCATCACCCTCTTCACGTGCTCAAGTTCAGGATCATCTTCGCCGGCTCACATGTTGTTTTGGCAGCACACATGCATTCTTTCCTGCGGCCGCCCCTTAAAGGAGCCACGTTCAGCCGAGAGGAACTGCGGCTGTCCTCCCAGCAGCTGCCAAATGGATGTACTGTGTGTTGTGATCGTGTGATGTTATGCTCTAGGTCTGTTTTGACTAGCTGGATATTAGATTGGGGTGATTAGAGAAGGCTTGATACCATCACCTGAATACAATGTGCAAGCCAAAGCCACTGTCTTCTTATTCATTGTGAACACCAACAAGACAAAAAAAAAACCAAAATGATAATATCCCCAATGACTTCAGAAAGAGATACTGGTCAAAAGGTCAAGGTTTTCCAGATCTGAGGCTTTTTAGTGATTTGGGTCAAGCTATTTAACGTTTGTTTTTGAGACGGAGTTTCGATCTGTCACCCAGGCTGGAGTGCAGTGGTGCGATCTCAGCTCACCGCAACCTCTACCTCCCAGGTTCAAGTGATTCTCCTGCCTCAGCCTCCCGAGTAGCTGGGATTACAGGCATGTGCCACCACACCTGGCTAATTTTTGTATTTTTAGTAGAGGCGGGGTTTTTCCATGTTGGTCAGGTTGGTCTCAAACTCCTGACCTCAGGTGATCCACCCACCTCAGCCTCCCAAAGTGCTGGGATTATAGGCGTGAGCCACCGCGCCTGGCCGATATTTAACATTTCTGTGACAATGATTAGTATCCAACCCCTACATGGTTACTAGGGATTTTGTAATTAGACAAACTTCTAAGCTGTTACTTAAATAAGTCTGAAATTCAAATCACATGTAGCTCCATACACTGGATACCTTTGAAGGATTTGTGAGAAACAATCCCCTTAAACACCCTGGCTAGGATGCAATAAGGCTACTCAGCACACTAGGAAATTGGTCGTACTATTTTCTTATTGCAGCAAAGGTTGCTGCCTTTTTAAAGTTTGATGCCGTATCAGAACATAATCTTAACCTGTGATCCCTGTTTCAATGCTTTGTGGGAATAATTGTGCATTCACATTCAGCAAGATCCTCAAAATTACAGGGCTAGTATGATGTACAGGGTTCAGAAAAACAGGGATAGAAATAAAGCCATCCCTCCAGTTTTATGTGCATGTAATTGATTATCCATTTGGGGTCATTGAAATACGTCGCACATGTATTCTGGGGTCCATGTGTTCTGGAGAAATCGTGGTTGCCGTAAATGTTAAATTATAATTCAGTATGTATTTATTGAACATCTCAATGCTGTGCCTGCTCTCAAGTGAAGAGAGTGAGCTAAGCAAAGAAACAGATGAAATAGCTAGTGGCCACCCTTCTGAAAGGGTTTCCATCTTCCCCTCTTCCCGTCAATATCATATCACTCCACAGCAAGGCTGTTCTTCATCACTCAACAAGCACATGAAACACACAATGAAGTGTATTTATAAGGAATTTATTGTCTAGCTTAGGAGGAAAAAAATGTATATATGAAAAAGCTAGAGGCTGGGTGTGGTGGCCCATAACTGTAATCGCAGCACTTTGGGAGGCCGAGGCAGGCAGATCTTTTGAGGTCAGGCATTCGAGACCAGCCTGGCCAATATAGTGAAACTCTACTAAAAATACAAAATTAGCCAGGTGTGGTGGTGGGCACCTGAAATCCCAGCTACTCAGGAGGCTGAGGCAGGAGAATCATTTGAACCCGGGAGGTGGAGGCTGCAGTGAGCCAAGATTGCGCCACTGTACTCCAGCCTGGGTGACAAGAATAAGACTGTGTCTCAAAAAAAAAGAAAAGAGAAAGCTAGAGACCAGTGCAAGTTCATGTAGAATCAAGTGCTAGAATGTGAGTGGCAAAGACTGAAAATGGGTTGGAATTTCAAAGGAGGGGAAAATAGCTGGGCTCAAGTTAGTGAGAGATTTCTATGGAAGGAACCTTGAGAGGGGCCCTTGAATGGAGTAAGGAATTGAACTAATGCAAAGGAGAAAGAGTGGGCATCTCAGACTGGAAAAGAGCAGAGCCGGAGCAGAGCATGGAGGTGAAATGAAAACACTGTGCATGACTATTTCCATTTGTCCCTCCTTTATATTTTTCCCTGCTGCCTCACACAGGAGAGTTCCTTCAACTCCAGCTAATAAGCTGCAAGTTTATAGAATAGCCACTCGTACTTTACACCATCTGTTCAGGGAATGTTTTGTACCCTCTCTCTCATATTTTGGGGGAGGGCAGGGGAACTGTATTTAATGAGGAAAATGGAAACATTAAAGAGAAATGTGCTCCTTCCTTTCTTATCCCTTTCTTCCTGAATGATTGAGTCCTGAAGTATGAGATGGGGCAGAGTGAGGTGGGCATTCACAGGGAGGGGAGAGACAGGGCTGCGGTGCGTCAGAGCCACACCAGGTAAAGGGGCCTCCATGCAAGGGGGAGGTCAGCCCGGGAGTCACAGCCTACAGGGTGAGGCGCATCCACTCACGGGGGTGCTTGATGTGTGTATCTGAGCATCCTTACCTGGGGGCAGCCTGACATGGGGCATCAGAGCCTGAGCGGAGAAAGAAAAGCATCCATAAGGGAGAAGAGACAACTGTGGAGTTTGGAGATTGATGCAATAAGAAATATATTAAGGTTTCTGTTCGTGACCAGCCTGACCAATATGGTGAAACCCGTCTCTACTAAAAATACAAAAGTTAGCAGGGTGTGGTGGCAGGTGCCTGCAGTCCCAGCTACTTGAGAGGCTGAGAAAGGAGAATTGCTTGAACCCAGGAGGCAGAGGTTGCAGTGAACCAAGATCGCATCACTGCACTCTAGTCCGGGTGACAGAGTAAGACTCCATCTCAAAAAAAAAAAAAAAAATATATATATATATACACGTATATATATATACACACATGTATATATATGCATATGTATACATAAATGTATACATGTATACATGTATACGTATATGTATACATATGTATACATAAAGGTTTCTCACTGTCAGGGGAGTTAAAAATATGGAAAGGAAGAAAACTAAGATGAATATTGTGGTTTTGGATTAGAATTGGGTGTATTAGTATGAATCAGAGTTTTCAAGATAGATGAATAGATAGACTTATAAACATAAATGAACATCCATATATATGTATTGTGGTGGGCATACTCTCAGAAGGCCCCCACTTATTCACTTTGGGAGGCCTGAGTCTCCTCTTGCATCTACCATGTGTTAAAGATGCTCCTGAGATGCCCTGGAATGATCTGCACCCCCTGTATTCACCCCCAGTATTCATGGTTTCCCCTTGAGTGTGGGCAGAGCCTATGACTCACTTCTAACCAAGAGAATATAGCAA
This sequence comes from Homo sapiens, assembly GCF_000001405.40. Lineage (NCBI taxonomy): Eukaryota > Metazoa > Chordata > Mammalia > Primates > Hominidae > Homo > Homo sapiens. Next base: position 13,730,028 of record NC_000006.12, on the reverse strand, counting down.
ATAGAATGGAATGTCATTTCTGTGAGTATGTTACATAAGATTATAATGTCCATCTTGCTTGGAGACTCTCTTTTGCTTTTTTTTTTTTTCTTTTGAGATGGAGTCTCGCTCTGTTGCCCGGGCTGGAGTGCAGTGGTGCAATCTCAACTAACTGCAACCTCCGCCTCACGAGTTCAAGTGATTCTCCTGCCTCAGCCTCCTGAGTAGCTGGGATTACAGGCGTGCACCACCAAGCCTGTCTAATTTTCGTATTTTTAGTAGAGATGGGGTTTCACCATGTTGGCCAGGCTGGTCTTGAAGTCCTGACCTCAGATGATCTGCTCGCCTCAGCCTCCCAAAGTGCTGGGACTACAAGTATGTGTCACTGTGCCTGGCCTCTGCTTTTTCTTGAGACAAAGTCTTGCTCTGTAGCCCAGGCTGGAGTGCAATGGCGCCATCATAGTTCAATGCAATCTCTGCCTTCTGGGCTCAAGTGATCCTCCTGCCTTAGCCTCCCAATTAGCTGGGACTACAGGCATGTGCCACCATGCCCAGCTAATTTTTTTTGTATTTTTTATAGAGACAGGATTTCGCCATGTTGCCCAGGCTGGTCTCAAAGTCCTGGGCTCAAGTCATCCTCGCCTCGGCCTCCCAAAGTGCTGGGATTACAGGCATGAGCCAGCTCATCTGGTCTTCTTGCTGACTTTGATGAAGCAAGTTGCTAGGTGATGAATCGCCCTAGGGAGAGGCCCACATGGCAAGGAACTGAGGGTAGCCTTCAGCCAATAGCCAGTAAAAGCCTGAGGCCCTCAGTTCAGCACACCCAGAAAGACCTGAATCTTGCTACCACATGAGCTTGAAAGCGTGTCTTTCCTCAGATGAACCCTGAGATAAAACCATAGCCTCAGTTGACATTTTGTGAGAATTTAAAGCAGAGGATTCCACTAAGCCATGCCAGGACTCCTGAGCCACAAAACTGTGAGGTAATGAATGTGTGTTGTTTTAAGATGCTAAATTTGTGGTAATTTGTTATACAGCAATCAATGCCTAACATACGTATGTATGTATATTACTTAGCTCTCGCTGAAAAGGCCTAGAGGAACAACACTCCGATATCAATAAGCACACTGAGCACCTAGATTTTGGCCTCAAACACCATTTGCAATTAAAAGGAATTATGGCTCCTTGGAGAAATGGCTGATTCCAGGGCTGTAGCATGGAAAGTGCGAGATGAGTCTGGAACATCTTGTTGTGCCTGAAAGTCAGGAAGTGCTCAGAAAGTGTTGGGGACAAGTCAAAAGGCATAGAAGACAGGTAGAGGGGCTCCAACTAGCCTACTGAGGGACAATCTGAATATCAAAATAAATAATAATGATGAATTCTAACCCTATTGAATAAAATTGGAAATCACATCCATAGAGCTATAAATAAATAAATGAAAGTTTGATGAAGAATGGGATATTTGGATTATTTCACAGCATCTCTCCACAAAATATTTATTAATTGCAAAGAGGAAAAGAATAACTTTATAGTGGAGAAGACTGACAGCACCTTTATTAAATGATAAAAGTTAGCATCATCAGAAATGCAACACATTACTATTGTGTGGCACCTGATACACTGAGAAGAACACAGAGGCATTTCTATGATATGCCTCCCAAGATTCATAACCTGAATCTACACTTGAGGAAATAGAGAAGCCCAAATTAAGGGACGCTAAAAAATAACTGGCCTGTAATCTTCAAAAGTGTCAGGGTCAGGAAAGTCAAGGAGTTACTGAGGAAGTGTTTCATGGCTAGAGACATATGACAAGTAACTGCAATGCATGGTTTGAACTGGATCATTAGCTGTAAACAATGTTATTGGGGCAACTGGTAAAATTTGAATGGGATGTGAAGATTAGATAGTACTAACGCATCAGTGTTTCTTTCCTGATTCTGATGGTTATATTTCGGTTATGTAGAATATCTTGTTTGTAGAAATTCCACACAGGTGATGTCAGCAATTTGCTCTCAAATGGCTCAGTAGAAATAGTTCTTTGAATTGTATCTCTGATTTCCCTGTAATTTTGTGATTGTTTCAAAAATTAAAAAAATTTTTTTAAAAGGAAGAAATGCTGGTCTCCCTTAGAACTTGTTGGAAATGCAGCTTCTTGAGCCCCACCCCAGATCAATTCTTCAGGTGATTCTGATGCACTGAGAACCACTGTACTAGCCCGTTTATTCAAATTTTAACATCAAAAAACCATTTCTTAGCTGAGTGTGACTCCCACTACTGGACACAAATAAGATTGGTCTTTTAAAATTTCTACTCCTATTTCCATTGATAATTCATTATAAAGCTGAAAAGGTTGATACTAAGAAAGTAGAATAATACATTTTAGAACTGTTTTGAAAAAAGAGGGAAGGAACTGCTATTTATTGAGAGCATGCCATATGCCAAGCTTCATGCTAGTTTCTTTCTTGTAGGAAAGAAAATCCATGGATTTTCAGGATAGCCTCCAGAAATTTAAATCAGAATCCTCCAGCCCAATTCACTGAATATTCTAGCTTCTTAGAAACCATTCACCATTCCTTCAACAAACATCTATTGATGGCCTACTATGTGCCAGGAGTAAGAAAAGCACTGAAAGTTACATGGCAGTAAATTCATGTACACAGTATTTGGTGCTTATGACAAAAACCTTCATAGCACATGTAACCTTTTTTAAAATAAGAGCTTTATTGAGATATAATTCACATACCACATAATTTATCCATTTAATATGTACAATTCAGCAGTTTTTAGTATATTCACAAAGTTGTGCAACCATCACCATCATACCTTTTAGAACATTTCACCACCCCCAAAATAAATTTTCTACCCACTAGCAGTCACTCCTCACTCTCTCTTCCCCCCAACTCCTGACAACCACTAATCTACTTTCTGTGTCTATGGATTTGCCTATCCTGAACATTGCATATAAAAGGAAACATAAAATATGTGGTCTTTTGTGATTGGCACCCTTCAATTAGCATAATATTATGAAGGTTCATCTGTGTTGTAACATTCATCAGAACCAGAACTCCATTCCTTTATACTGCTGAATAATGTTCCACTCTATGAATAGACAACATTTTATTTTTAAATGTTTAATTGAATTTAATTAAAAAATTCTTGAGACAGGGTCTCGCTCTGTCACCCAAGCTGGAGAGCAGTGGCATGATCACAGCCCACTGCAGCCTCGACCTCACGGGCTCCAGAGATCCTTCCACCTCAGCCTTCCGAGTAGCTGGGTGTACAGGTGCGCACCATTACGCCTGGCTAACTTTTCTATTTTTTTCTAGAGATAGGGTTTCTTCATGTTGCCCAGGCTGGTCTCAAACTCCTGGACACAAGCGATCCGGCCTCCCAAAGTGCTGAGATTACAGATGTGAGCCACTGTGCCCGGCCAACATTTTATTTATCCATTCATCCATTGATGGATATTTGGATTATTTCTACTTTTTTACTATTATGAATAATGCTGCTATGAACATTTGTGTGCAAGTTTTTATGTGAACATATGTTTTCCTTTCTTTTGGGTATATACCCAGGAGTAGAATTGCTGGGTCATATGGGAAATCTAAGTTTAAGCTTGGAGGAACTGCCATACTGTTTTCACACCTGCAGTGTCTGAGCGTATCAGGGCTCTGATTTCTGCACATCCTTGTCAACACTTGGTATAGTATATGTAATCTTTGCATCATAATTAAACTGTGAACACTTAATTCTTTTTTTTTTTTTTTTTTTTTTGAGACGGAGTCTCTCTCTATCTCCCAGGCTGGAGTGCAGTGGCGTGATCTCGGCTCACTGCAAGCTCCGCCTCCTGGGTTCACGCCATTCTCCTGCCTCAGCCTCCCGAGTAGCTGGGATTACAGGTGCCCGCCATCACGCCCGGCTAATTTTTTGTATTTTTGGTAGAGATGGGGTTTCACCGTGTTAGCCAGGATGGTCTTGATCTCCTGACCTCGTGATCTGCCCGCCTCGGCCTCCCAAAGAGCTGGGATTACAGGTGTGAGCCAACGTGCCCAGCCCCTACACTTAATTCTTAGAATGAAGACCACTGGATGGGTTATAAAGACTTGAAATCAAGCATTATGAAAGTAGCTTGCTTGTGTCATCAAGAAGTATTTAAGGAGTGCCTCCTAGATATAGGGCACTACAATAGGAAATAGGCTCTTTGAAGGTGTTTTTTTGTGGTTGTGTTAAGTAAATGGGGCACCTATGACTCAGATTTCCCTGGCAAGCCAGGAAGTATCTCAAAATCTCCAGGTCTGGTTCTACAGGCAGGGCAGCATGACTGAAAAATCTGGTATTTCAGATCACCCACGGTAGGCAGGGACAAGTAATGATAGCTTTTGGCAAACCTAAGACAGATCCAGGACACCTGTAATTGGCCTGAGTTTCCGGCTTTGAGTTCAGACCTAGCCTTTAGGCCACTAACTGGTGAACCATTGGCCAGATCTGACCCACAGAGGTGTTTTGTTTGACCTGTGAAGTGTTTGGAACGTTTTGATTTGAAATTCCTTTATGCTCTCCACTCTGTTATTGTTTTATACCCGACCTGGTTCACTCTTTTACATTATCTACCTGGCTCATGGAGGTATTTGAGTTTGCAAGTCCTGCTCAGGATGATGCCTTAGTCATATGTTTAAGGCCTGGGCAATTATCAAATAGAATATCATTGCCATAATAAAAAAGCAGAGTTACATCCCTATATCAACAAGAAGCAGTTGTTAAACCCATAATTGTGCAACATGCAACATAGAGAACAGTAAATAGTTGTGACCTATACCTATGAGGACCTTATAAACTAAGGTAAACCATGCTGACACAGACAGACTTTCACATGGTCAACAGAGAGTAGAAAAAGGCATATGGACCATGAAAATAAACATGATGAAGGTCAGTAATGAGCATGGTGGCAACAGCCAAACTTACGGGCTTGTGTTCCTACGTACACACGTATTCTAAAAATCGTCTCTTTATGAAAGACCCTCTTCCCAGATTAAACCTATTAAAATGTGAACTTATTTGATGGACATATTTGCAAGACTTGTGACATTCCAACATTGCTCAGTAATGCCAACATTCAGAGAGTTCTCTTAAGGCAGATGTAGTCATTGAAATGATCAGGTGTGTGATTAGAAATGTGACTGGAAGGCCAGGTGCAGTGGCTCTCACCTGTAATCCCAGCACTGTGGGAGGCCGAGGCAGGTGGATCACCTAAGGTCAGAAGTTTGAGACCAGCCTAGCCAACATGGTAGACCCCGTTTCTACTAAAAATACAAAAATTAGCCTGGTGGGGTGGCAGGAGCCTGTAATCCCTGCTACTCAGGAGGCTGAGGCATTAAAATCATCTGTATCTGGGAGGCGAAGGTTGCAGTGAGCTGAGATGGCACCACTGCACTCCAGCCTGGGTGACAGAGTGAGACTCCATCTCAAAAAAAAAAAAAAAAAAGCATCCTTGGATGCTCTTGGTGCCCTGAGCATGTCCTGTCACCTGCTGATGCACCCATCTCAGGCCACAGGGAATGTTGCCAGTGACTCATAGCCACACCCTCACCTCCTTGCCCAGAGATCCCTCGGATGTTATACCACCCCAGGGAGGAATGTGGTCTGCAGCTAATGAGTGGTTAATACAGGCTTTAAAAGCCCTGGACTCTTGCCTTAAGGTGGGATGACTGCATGGTGCACACACACTCCAGAGCTTCCTGTGGGGTTAGGCTGGAGCCAGACCTCACCGAGCTTACATCTTCGCCTGGCTTCCTCCCCGTGCTAGTTTACTTCCCTTATTCCCCTACACATTTCACTTGAGAGCACTCTGTCAAAAGATCACAGGTACCAGAAACCCCATCTCAGCCTCCGTTTCTAGGAAACCTGATCTGGGACACCTAACCTACCCTACAAAATTGTCCTTATGGGGTCAAATTTTTAAATAGTTATTAAAGCATAATACACATGACATTAGGCATGTAATGGTTAGAAAGTAACAGCCCTGAGCTGCAGCAGTCATGGTGACCCTCTAATAGTCCCTTAAAGGCAGTTTTATGGCATTAATGCCTCTGCCCAGTGGAAGAGCCATTTCAGTTCATACTTCAATCATAAAATTACTTTTCCATCAAACCAGAATGCTTATATAACCCCTTCCTTTACTGAAATGTGGCCAGAACCGAGAGAGAGAGAGAGAGCTATAAAATTATGAAGACAAGCAGTGAGCCTAGATTGCCTTATTGACGTACATAATTTATATAACCAAGCTCTGTATCTTACAGAAAAGTACTTTCAAATAGAAAGTGCTTTGATTTTGATGAGAGAACTGTGATTGTTATATCACTCTGGCTTCTACAATGCACAGTATACCTAATTGTCTTAACAACTTTGTGCAACATTTTTCCTGAAACCTAAAAAGTTTGCAGTGTGTGTATGTGTGGATTGGTTTCCAAGGGCTGCTGTAACAAATGGCCACAAATTTGGTGGCTTACCACAACAGAAGTTTATTCTCTCACAGCACTGGAGGCCAGAAGTCTGCAATCAAGATGTCATAGGGCTACACTCCCTCCAGCTCCACAGGAGAGGGTCCATTCTTTGCCTTTTCCAGGTTCTGGTGGCTGGTGGCATTCCTTGACTTGTGGCAGCATCTCTCTAGGCTCCATTTTCACACGGTCTTCCCTTCTCTGCGTGTCTTTTCTGTCTCAAATCTCCCTCTGCCTCTCTCTTATAAGGATACTTGTCATTGGATTTAGGGCCTGCAAGGATAATCCAGGATGATCTTGTTCAAGATCCTTAACTTAATGACATTTGCAAGGACCCTTTTACCAAATAAAGTCAGAGTCACAGGTTCTAGGGATTTGAGGTGGACAGCTTTCTAGGGTGCCATTTTTGGTTCTACCACAGTGTTTATAAACGTGGGTGTGCACAACCACAGGAAGATAAGGAGGGGTGTATATATTTGAAGAACCTGATCAGAGCTTGTACATTTAGCTTGTACAGTCTAACTTGTACATTTAGACTCACATTGAACATCCACAATCTTAACTCCTTTCTTTTTTTTCTTGAGACGGAGTCTCACTCTGTCGCCCAGGGTTGAGTGCAGTGGAGCGATCTGGGCTCACTGCAACCTCTGCTTCCCGGGTTCAAGCAGTTCTCCTGCCTTGGCCTACGAAGTAACTGGGATTACAGGCACTCGGCACCACGCCCAGCTAATTTTTTGTATTTTTAGTAGAGATGGGTTTTCACCATGTTGGCCAGGCTGGTTACACACTCCTGACCTGAAGTGATCTGCCCACCTCGGCCTCCCTGAGTGCTGGGATTACAGGTGTGAGCCACCGCACCCTGGCCAGTCTTGACTCTTTAGAAGCAATGCAGAAGGCCGTTTTGCCATAATTTTACCAAGCGCTAATAGCATCCCATGTGTGTTAAGGTTAGTGCACTGCATGGAAACACGTAGCCTAGTCAACCACTCAACAGCCACATGTCAGTGTGGCTTTGTTGTTCTTCAATCATGTAGACTATTCAAATTATACTTACTGAATTTTATGGGATGATATAATATTGTTTCATGAGATTTACAGTTTAAGGATTCAGAAAGATCTGGGCCTCTTAAGAATGTCAAAGATCTATTATCTATGAGAAGTTTTCATATAGACAATGGCATAAGGCACATGTGGGGGACTGTTGGTGATATTAAGAGCCAGACCGGTAATTCCACAGACAATGCTACCTCTCTTTAAATAACTGATGCCTGTTTCAAAGTTAAATATTTGCAAAATAAACTAATTGCAGCTGAAGCAGAAAAATACTAAAAAAAAGTATTTTGAAGCCATTTTATTATTTATGCTGCCTTTATTTTTTATTTTTTTATTTTTTTGAGACGGAGTCTCACTCTGTCACCCAGGCTGGAGTGCAATGGCGGGATCTCGGCTCACTGAAACCTCTGCCTCCAGGTTTCAAACGATTCTCCTGCCTCAGCCTCCCGAGTAGCTGGGATTACAGGTGCCCACCACCACACTCAGCTATTTTTTGTATTTTTAGTAGAGATGAGGTTTCACCATGTTGGCCAGGCTGGTCTCGAACTCCTGACCTCGTGATCCGCCTGCCTTGGCTTCCCAAAGAGCTGGGATTACAGGTGTGAGCCACTGCGCCCGGCCTATGCTGCTTTTTAAGATACAGATGCTCTGACATCTTTGAAATATTGCAGTTTTGGGAAGTCTCACGTATTGCTGAGCATATTTTTCCCAGCATATCTTTGAAGGCACTTAAGGAAAACAAATAAAAATGTTTTTTAAAAATTCATTACTAAGCATAAGATAGTATATGGCTATGGTGAAAGAAATAGTGACTTATGAAATAAATTGCTTTACTAAACAACTTTCTTTTTATGTTTACTTAGATTGCAAATTAGGCCTGGTACTTTCTTTGAGGACCATGATGATAAGAAAATATTTGTATCAATTATCTCCATGCTGTAGCCTAGATATAAAGAAACTTAGATTGAAGAATTCATTTTACTTGTAAGAATGGGTTACATTCTTACAATAGGCTGGACAATTACTTTTCCTAGGATATTAGAAAAAAACCTGGCCAGGTGTGGTGGCTCATGCCAGCACTTTGTGAGGGCAAGGCGGGCAGATCACCTGAAGTCAGGAATTATAGACCAGCCTGGCCAACATGTTGAAACCCCATCTCTACTAAAAATACAAAAATTGGACAGGTGTGTGGTGGGCGCCTGTAGTCCCAGCTACTCAGGAGGCTGAGGCAGGAGAATTGCTTGAACCCAGGAGGTGGAGGTTGTAGTGAGCCGAGATTGTGCCATTGCACTCCAGCCTGGGCGACAAGAGTGAGACTCTGTCTCAAAAAAAGAAGAAAAACCTATGGCACTTTTTGTCTCTCTTAGAACACTATTCATATTCTACCTTGAAAAACTGGTTGTGTAAGTCAATTTCCTACAAAACTATAAACCAGTTGAGGGTAAAGATGTTAGTGTCCCTTAAAAATGTTTTCCCCTATGCTTCCTAGCGCTGTGTACACACAATAGGCACATAATAGGCACTCAGTAGATAATGAATGGAATGCAGCCTGCATCTTGGGGAACTAGGAGCCTAACCCACAGTGGGTTGGTGAGTTATTCTCCTCAATGATATCTGGCACCTTGGGGAGCTATTTATCATTTTCTTAAAGAATGATCATTTTCTTCTTTTTTATTTTTTCTATGCTTTCTATTTTTGTCTTTCATCTTCCTTTCTTCCTGTTTCTTCCCTCCAAACTATGCCTTTGGCTGCCTGCATGATATTCCAGCCACTGCACCCATAGGCACTTCCTAGACCTGCAGGGGGCATTCCCTGGAGTTCAGAGACATTCTGGGGTAGGCTTCCCATCCCATGATTCCATCAAGAACTTGATCACTGTAGCACCAAGGGAGGAAATGAATTCCTGCTATCTGTTCCCTATAGTTACTCTATTTTTACTTTTTTTTTTTTTAGACAGAGTTTTGCTCTGTAGCCCAGGCTGGAATGCAGTGGCACAATCTCGGCTCACTGCAACCCCTGCCTCCGAGGTTCAAGCAATTCTCCTGCTTCAGCCTCCTGAGTAGCTGGGTTTACAGGTGCATGCCACCACGCCCGGCTAATTTTTAGTAGAGACGGGGTTTCACCATGTTGGTCAGGCTGGTCTTGAACTCCTGACCTCGTGATCCGCCCACCTCAGCCTCCCAAAGTGCTGGGATTACAGGCATGAGCCACCGCACCCGGCCTCTATTTTTACTATTTATTTATTTATTTATTTATAGTAGAGATGAGGTCTCCCTATGTTGCCCAGGCTGGTCTCAAACTCCTGGCCTCAAACAATCCTCCCACCTCAGCCTCCCAAAGTACCAGGATTACAGGTGTGAGCCACCATGCCCTGCCATTACTGCATTTTGAATGCACTTTTAATGTCAACCATCAAGAAACAAGAAAGAGGGTCAGGCGGGTGGCTCATGCCTGTAATCTCAGCACTTTGAGAGGCTGAGGCGGGAGGATCACTTGAGGCCAGGAGTTTGACAGCAGCCTGGGCAACATAGGGAGACCATGTCTCTTCAAAAAAATCACAAAAAAAGTCAGCCAGGTGTGGTGGTGCATGCCTGTAGTCGCAGCTACTTGGGAGGCTGAGGTGAGAGGATCACTTGAGCCCAGGAGGCCAAGGCTGCAGTGAGCCATGATTGTGGCTCTACATTCCAGCCTGGGTGACAAAGTGAGACCCTGTCTCAAGGAAACAAGAAAGAGGAGACATAGAGATCAGTATGGATGGAAGGATGTGAGTTCTGGCAACTGAGGAAGGGCTACAGTGGACTAGAACAAGCAGAAGGAAAAATTAGGAGGAAAATCAGAAGGAGATTGAGAGCCTATTAATTTGTCAAAAAGTCATTAGCTTAGGTTATTTCAGCCCAAATTGTAATTTTTGTACAAATTCTTCTAGAACAGATGATAAAAGTTTCCTCTAAATTTAACTTTTGGTTTTTCACATAGATTTTACTTCATGAACACTGAATTGTAACCACTTTTATTCACACATGAATATGAAATAGTATATTTATGTTATTCCATGTGGCCCTGCAGACCCTTTTCACCCTGAACCCCAAACCCCAGGGATGCAGTCTCTTGGTTTGTGGTAAAACAGCCAGCACCCCCCTCGTGTTCTCTTCAAGACAGCACACAAATTCTGAGGCAGAGTCCGCCCTCACTAGACTTTTGTGTATCTGCCCATGGACTCTGGAACACTTGTTTCTAAAGAGCATCAACTGAGGCTGGCTGTGGTGGTTCCTGCCCGTCATCCCAGCACTTTGGGAGGCCAAGGCAGGAGGCTCCCTTGAGTCCAGGAGTTCGAGACCAGCCTGGGCAACATTGCAAGACCCCTGTCTCTACAATTAAAAAAAAAAATCAGCTGAGCACTGTAGCATGTGCCTGTAGTCCTAGCTACTTCAGCGGCTGACGTGGGAGGATCCCTTGAACCCAGGCTTTGGAGACTGCAGTGAGCTATAATCGGGCCACTCCAGCCTGCGGGACAGAGCAAGACTTGTTCTCCCAGTCCTTGCTATTCAGGGGCTAATCCATGGATCAGGAGTGGCAGCAGCCCCTGGAAGCTTGTTAGAAATGTAGACTGTCAGGTCCCATTTGGCAAATCTCCACATTCAAGTCTGAAAATCACTGCTCTCTAATTCATGTGTGCAGTCAGCCCTTCCGTGTCTGAAGGTTTGCAACCTTGGATTCAACCGAAGACCAAAGATGTAGTTAGACCTATGATTGTTCTGTCTGTCCCGAACAGACTTTTTGTCCTTGCCATGATTCCCTAAACAATACAGTATCACAACTACACAGGATCACATTATGTTTAATATTGAAGTAATTTAGAAGTGATTTCAGTATACAGGAGACGATGTAAGTTACAGGCAAATTCATTTTATTATCCAAATTTTTATATAACATCATGTTATATAAGAGACTTGGGCCTCTGTGGATTTTGTTTTCCACAGTTCTTGAAACCAATGCCCTATGGATGGATACGGAGGCGACAACTGTTAATCATCTCACCACTCTGCATTAGTCCAGTCTCACATTGCTAATAAAGACATTTCTGAGACTGGGTAATTCATAAACAAAAGAGGTTTGACTCACAGTTCAGCATGGCTGAGGCGGCCTCAGGAAACTTACAACCACGGTGGAAACGGACACAAGCACATCCTTCCTCACAAGACAGCAGCAAAGAAAAGTGCAGAAAAAAACAGGCAGATAAAGACCGTTGTAAAACCACCAGATCTGGTGAGACCTCACTATCATGAGAACAGCATGAAGGTAGGTAACCCCATGACTCAATTACCTCCCACTAGGTCTCTCCCACGACACATGGGGATCATCACAACTGTAATTCAAGATGAGATTTGGGTGGGGACACCACCAAACTGTCCAAAACTGGTGGGTTCTTGTTCCCACTGACTTCAAGAAAAACCACAGACCCTCCTGGTGACTGTTAAGTTTTTAAAGGTGGTGTGTGTCTGGAGTTTCTTGCTTCTGATGGTCAGACATATGCAGTCTCTCCTTTACTGGTGGGTTTGTGGTCTCACTGGCTTCAGGAGTGAAGCTGCAGACTTTCGTGACAAGCGTTATAGCTTTTAGAGGTGGCGCATTGAATTATTCCTTCTTCTCCTCCAGAATAGTTTATTTTTTGCAGTCAGTTACTGACCACCCCAGCCTCAAGAATGAAAGTGCAGACCTTTACAGTCAGTGTTACAGTTCATAAACGCAGTACAAGCCCAAAGAGTAAGCAGCAACTAGATTTATGACAAACAGCAAAATAACAAACACTCCATAAAGCGTAAGGGTACCCCAGCGTGGTACTACAACTGGCTCGGGCAGCCTGCTTTTATTCCCTTATCTGGCCCCACCCACATCCTGCTGATTGGTCCGTTTTACAGAGAGCTGATTGGTCCCTTTTGACAGGGTGCTAATTGGTGCGTTTACAATCCCTGAGCCAGACACAAAAGTTCTCCAAGTCCCCACTAGATTAGCTAGACACAGAGCACTGATTGGTGCATTTACAAACCTTGAGCTAGACACAGGGTGCTCATTGGTGTGTTTACAAACCTTTAGCTAGACACGGAGTGCTGACTGGTGTATTTACAATCCTTTAGCCAGACGTAAAGGTTCTCCAAGTCCCCACCAGATTAACTAGACACAGCACTGATTGGTGCATTTACAAACCTTGAGCTAGACACGGTGCTGATTGGTGTGTATACAATCCTCCAGCTAGACATAAAAGTTCTTCAAATCCCAGCTAGACTCAGAGACTCCGCTGGCTTCACCTGGTGGATCCCGCACCCACGCCAAAGGCGAAGCTGCCCGTCAGTCCCGCATCGGGCACCCGTACTCCTCAGCCCTTGAGCAGTCGGGACGGGGTGCCACGGAGCAAGGGGCGGCGCTTGTCGGAGAGGCTTCGGGCAGTGCAGGAGCCCATGGCGGTGGGGAGGCTCGGGCATGGCGGGCTGGCAGGTCCAGAGCCCTGCCCCGCGGAGAGGCAGCTGAGGCCCGGTGAGAATCCCAGCGCAGCGCCGGCAGGCCGGCACTGCTGGGGGACCCGGCGCACCCTCTGCAGCTGCTGGCACGTGTGCTAAGCCCGTCACTGCCTGAGGCCGGCGGTGCCAGGCGGCCGCTCCGAGTGCGGGGCCTGCTGAGCCCCTGCCCACCCGGAACTTGCCCTGGCCCGCGAGCGCCGCGCACAGCCCCGGTTTCCGCCCGCAGCTCTTCCTTCACGCCTCCCCACAAGCAGAGGGAGCCGGCTCCAGTCTCGGCCAGTCCAGAGAGGGGCTCCTACAGTGCAGCGGCGGGCTGAAGGGCTCCTCAAGCGCGGCCAGTGTGGGTGCCGAGGCCGAGGAGGCACCCAGAGTGAGCGAGGGCTCCCAACATGCTGTCATCTCTCAAAACCGTATCACTTTCCAACTAGACTGTTCACCGAAGAAGTAGATTCCATACTGCTGTTTTTCTTTGTAATCTGTCTTGCCTCTTTTCTTCATTCCCTGCCTAGAGAAGACAGGACCCAGGGTTCCAACATAACAGGTGCTTCATAAATGCTGACTGAGAACTTTCCCAAACTTGGACCCTTTATTGCTATAGTTTACTAACATTGTTCAGCCATTTGTCATCCATTTGAATTTGCCACACTACGTGCAGAAATATGCTTACTCCATTCGTGTGGCATCAGGCTGCCTCGGACACTGGAGTGCAGCACGCATTGTGGGTAATAAAATGAATTTGTTGACTCCTAGGATTTCATTGCTAGTGACTTGGCTTTCATTTTTAGTGTTGAGAATGGTTTATAAGGAACGTTGATGTAATAGTCTGGAACAGGAATCACAAACTGAAGCCTGTAGGGCAAATCCAGGCTGCTCCCTATGTTTGTAAATAAAGTTTTGCGGGATCACAGCCATGCCCGTTTGTTTATGTATCATCTATGGTTACTTTCATTTACAATGGCAAAATTGAGTAGTTGCGACAGGTAACTATGTTCCGCAGAGCCTAAAATATTCACTATCTAACCTGTTACAGAAAAAGTTTGCTGATCCCTGGTCTAGAATCCATATTTGATGTGAATGTGGCAAGTGCAGTTCCCCAGGGTCACTGGAAGTTACAAGGACCCTGTATGAGTCAGTTTCCAAAGACGGCCTTCAATGATCCTCACCTTCTTGTGTTCATAGCCTTGTGTAATCCCCTCCCCTTGAATATGGGATGAAACTGATGACTCACTTCTAACAAACATATGGCAAAAGTGATGGGATGTCACTTCCGTGGTTGGGTTACAAAACACTGTAACTTTTGTCTTGCCACGATTGCCTTGGCTTGCATGCTTTCATGAAGCAAGCTGCCATGTTGAAGGTGCCCATGTGGCAAGGCATCATGGGCCACTTCTGGCCAATAGCCAACAAGAAACTGAATCCCTTAGTCCAGCAGCCCTCAAGGAACTGCATCAATGAGTGTGATAACCACATCAGTGAGTGTGAAAGTGGATTCTTCCCCAGTCAAGTCTTGAGATGACTGCAACCCCAACTGACACCTTTAATGCTCATGAGAGACCCTGAAGCAGAGGATCCAGTGAAGTTGTGCCAGATTCCTGACCCACAGAAAATGTGTGATAATAAACGTTATTTTAAGCCACTAAATTTGAGGATTATTTATTCTGCAGCCATAGATAACTAATCCAGACCCTAAAACCATACTATAGATCTTGGCACACATTGCCATAACATTTTCCAGTACTCAGAAGGATACTGTCATGGGCATTGACTGAAACAGGCTGGTCAGCATCTTACCTCTTTCCTAGTATCTTTCCTAGTATGGAAAATCCTCTACTGTGGGCACCAGTGGCCCTTTTCCACTAGGGCAATGTGTCCTAAACATTTTCATGTTATGCCATGCACAGAAAATAAGATGTGTATGGTACTCTGAATGCACAAGACTGCTCACTGTTGGAAGGGACCAGTTCTGGTGGCTGTAACCACTCAAGGCCCACCCTGAGCTGAAGTTATCAATAACGTAGCATCTCTGTAACCCAGTCACTGGATAACCTGGGAATCTCTGCTTGCTGGTGTATTCTGGCATGGGCACACAATCTAGGCTTGGTGACTTTGAAACTTGAGTGAGTGGTGTAAAGGCTGGAGGTCAGAGAGATAAGAGTCCAGGTGTTGAAGGTGACATCTGGCAGTGATTTCTGTGATCAGTGCTGGGGTCCAGGCCAGTCTATTTATGCAGCCTCTCCTCCTTTGGCCATTGTCAGTTTTCAGGCCTGCTTGTCCAGCCTTCTGGTCAATTCTGAGAACCATCTAATATCTTTCCAGTAAGTTCCTTTTTTGCTTAAGAGAGCCAGAATTGGTTCCTATTGTTCGATACTGAGAAACCCAGCAGATACAGATACTGGGTAATATTAGAGCAATACATGGTAAAGACTGAAAACATAGGTTCAAGAAGGGTGTGGATATGTTCATGGCTAATGGATTTTTACTATTTACATATCTATGTACAATTCTATTATTTTCATAATAAAAGTACATTACTTTTAATAATGCATTATAATTGTCCATTATGGAAACATTTTACAATTTTTCCTTCATGTCTTTTTGGTAATGATTTTGGCAGTGCTATAATTATCGTATTGCCTCTTTTCATTTAGCATATCATAATCATTTTTCTATGTCTTCAATAACATATTTTTAAGAGGCCATAAAATATTTGTTTCAGGCTGTGCCTGTGCAAGAAGCCTGGAGAGAGTGGGTCTGAAGGTGGGCCCAGGATCCACTAAGTCAAGAGGAAGGGGTGCCTTTTTCTAATTGGTTGACCTCTTTTGGCACTTCCACTGCCCAGAAGGGATACCTTAAAAAAAAATGGCACGAATGTGCTATATGTGCTCCTGTAGCATAACTCCACTGAGTGGGGTATGTGATTAGAATTTCACATGTGACTAGAATTTCTTCTAGTCTCTTCCGGTTGGGCATTTGATTTGCTTCTATATTTAATCTACCATTAATACTTCTTGTGGAACATTTTTCAGCCTAAAGTATTTTCATATTTAGATTGTGTTGTTTGGCTTTTTGATAGATAAGTCAAAAGGTATGAACTCCTTTATGTCTCCTTATAAATATAACCAAGTATGTAGCTTTCCAAAAGGACGTTATCAATGTTCTCTATCTCCTTCTATATGAGAAAGTACTCATTTCACAGCATCCTCCCCCACAACTGAAATCATTAATTTCTTGATGGAGAACCACCAGTCCCCCTTATAAAATGCTTCCAACAAAATGTTAGACAATTCTATTCCTTCAGCTGTTCCTAAGATACGGAAAGTTCTAGATAGTTCCTAAGTGTGCTGACAGAAAAAAAGTACATCTTCAAAAGTGTTTCAAGAAAGTTTAATGACGTCTGGAGCCCATTTATTCTAACATGGCTATCGTACATTTAAATAGAGCTTGGCTTACATTGAACTCATTGTTACTGTAATATAAATGAAAGTGTTAGAACACTGTAAATACAGTGACATCATGTGATTCAAAGTGCAGTGGTTTAAAAAAAGTCATCAAACAACAGGTTAAAATTAATGGATATTTCTATCAAACTACAACAGAGGCCAGGCATGGTGGCTCACGCCTGTAATCCCAGCACTTTGGGAGGCTGAGGCGGGTAGATCACTTGAGGTCGGGAGTTCGAGACCAGCCTGGCCAACATGGTGAAACCCCGTCTCCACTACAAGTACAAAAATTAGCTGGGTGTGAGCACATGCCTGTAGTCCCAGCTACTTGGGAGGCTGAGGCAGGAGAATCGCTTGAACCCGGGAGGCGGAAGTTGTAGTGAGCTGAGACCACACAACTGCACTCCAGCCTGGGCGACAAAACAATAATAATAATAATAATAAAAGTACAACAGAACATCTAGTTGTCTGGGTAACTGAGGGAGAAATTAGGCCGAATGACTCTGTTATTTGTTCTGGCCAGATAATCTTGGCCTTAAATTAAATCACCTTTGGCCTACCTTCTTCAAAACGAAATAATTTTCTCTTCGGCAAAACATTTCTTATTTGACCAAATGATTACCATCATATCTTTGGAAGCAAACAAAATATCAGAATTTACATCACACAATTTACATATGCAAAGCCTGATTTTGCCAGCTAGGGAGGGATAAGCTAAACAAAGGGAAGTGGTGAAAACAAAGTAGTAATGTTATGATGGGTCAGAGAGCAACACTTGGCAAGTTGTGCCAAATTAGTCGACGAAGCATTCTATTGGGAATTGCAAAGTAGGAAGTCCTATTTTTGACTCTGCTGATCTCGGTAAATATTTCCTTGTTTTAAAAATGGGCATAATTTTCTGTTACCTAAGAACCCTGTTATGAAAATTAACGAGTCTATAAAATGTTCTGACGTCTCTAGAAGCCCTTCCTAAACACACACTATAATCTTGTATTCATACAGTGCCTGCTCCTGCTTTTTGAAGATATGCCGGTCTTTATTAATGACATCTTCTACCACTGTTAAGTTCACTGTGAGTCCTCGTAAAATTAATTAATGAAACAGTCACTATTCTAAGTGGGAGACTGCCTTCAGAAGTGGTTTCTACTGCCCATATGGTCAATGCTACGGAATTAAACACTGAAGTACCAAAGGCAATGCGTTCCTCTTTGGAGGGAGGCGGCAAACGGGAACGGGACTGAGGCGAGAGCTAGCAGCACTGCGCGGGGAGCCTGAGCCGCTCCGCACGCCCCGGGCCGACGGGTCCTAGAGCGCCCCGGGGCCTGGGCTCGCGGCGGCCCCAGCGGGGCTCGATTACTCTCGCCTGGACGAGAAGCGGCGCCTCGGCTCCGAGGAGCCCTACGGTGGGGAGGTGGGGCGACGACAACAAAAAGAAGTCAAGTGGGAGGGGATTCGCCGGCGAGGGGGGCGACGGCGGCCGCCAAGGGAGAGGAGGCGGACACCTCCGAAGGGACCTGCGGCGCCGGGAGCCCAGCGATCCTGCCCACGAGCGACTGGCGGGCCCGGGAGGACGCCTCGCGGCGCACAGCCGGGAGCCCCGCGGCCCGCCCCCTCGCACCGCTCGCGCCTCTCTCGCGCCTCCGTCCCGCCCCCTCGCCTAGCGCCGCCCGCGCGCAGCGTCTCGCGCCGGCCCGGCCCGCCCGCCGGGAAACAGCCGCGAGAGCAGCGGCCGCGGCGGCCGCCAGCGCGCCTTCCCCTCCCGCGCTCCCGCGTCGCCCCCGCCCTCGGCGCCTCGTCCCCGGGCCGCGCGCCCGCGCTCCGGCCAACGTTCTCTCCCGGCCTCCCGGGCCCGCCGCCTACTCCCGCGTCTCCGAGCTCCTCAACCGCCGCGGTCTCCCTGGGCGCGCGGCCCGCCGCCTGCTTCCGGGGCGGGCGGACTGGGCGCCTGGTGCCGGCGGCCGCAGCGACAGCGCCCCCGGGAAGCAGAGGAGGAAGGAGAGAAGAGGTGGAGGTGGCCGCAGGCTGAGTCGCGGCCGGGATGTCCGGGCAGCCGCCGCCGCCGCCGCCGCAGCAGCAGCAACAGCAGCAGCAGCTGTCGCCGCCACCGCCGGCGGCCTTGGCCCCAGTCTCCGGAGTCGTCCTGCCGGCGCCCCCGGCCGTCAGCGCCGGCTCTTCTCCGGCCGGCTCGCCCGGCGGCGGTGCGGGCGGCGAAGGCTTAGGGGCCGCGGCGGCCGCCCTGCTCCTCCACCCTCCGCCGCCGCCGCCCCCGGCCACCGCGGCCCCGCCGCCCCCGCCGCCGCCCCCGCCTCCCCCTGCCTCAGCGGCTGCCCCCGCCAGCGGGCCGCCCGCTCCCCCGGGCCTTGCAGCGGGCCCCGGCCCGGCTGGAGGAGCCCCGACCCCAGCTCTGGTGGCGGGCAGCAGCGCCGCGGCCCCCTTCCCTCACGGGGACTCGGCCCTGAACGAGCAGGAGAAGGAGTTGCAGCGGCGGCTGAAGCGTCTCTACCCGGCCGTGGACGAACAAGAGACGCCGCTGCCTCGGTCCTGGAGCCCGAAGGACAAGTTCAGCTACATCGGCCTCTCTCAGAACAACCTGCGGGTGCACTACAAAGGTACTGGGCGTGTGTCCTGCGGTGGGAGTGGGGCACTGACCCGACGTGGCCGGCCGCCGCTGCGCCGCTCTCGACCCGCCCCCGACCCCCGCCCTCGCGGGCTCTGC
The DNA here is from genome assembly GCF_000001405.40 of Homo sapiens. Lineage (NCBI taxonomy): Eukaryota > Metazoa > Chordata > Mammalia > Primates > Hominidae > Homo > Homo sapiens. The sequence continues at coordinate 13,710,827 of NC_000006.12, read as the reverse complement.
CCTCGGAGGCCACTCGCCGCCTGTTGTGCTGCTCCGGGTGGGCGCGGGGGTCGCGGTGAAGGGTCCGAGGGTGAGGGGCGAGATTCTTGGAAAAGGAAGGTGAGTAGAATGCCCCAGGGTAGAAAGGAGCTGGTAATCCTAGACCAGGAGCAGGACACCTTGAGGGAATCCGGGATGACAGGACAGAACTGGCTTTCTGATTTCCCTGGGAGATAAATCTTGGGGCTTGGGTAGAGGAATCCATGGACTCGGAGTTGGGTTACATTGTTCTCCAGGTGGTGGGTCAGGCGTTCTCCTCTTACAAGGGGGGAAGAGAGGCACGATTCTGAGGTATGATTTCTAATTAAGAGAGAGCAGGGATACACAGGGGGAGGAGTAATCAAAATTAGGCCAGAGATTGTCTAGGGGGACAAAAGGACAAGGGGCCCAAGTTTGCCATCAATATATTTTAGTAAAAGCAACCGGGAGGGTAAGAGAAGGGAACCCCAGGAACACCCTTTTTCTTAGGGGAGCAGAAACCTACCCCTCCCGATTGGAAGTGCCCTATACAGGTCCTTAGGTGTTGATATCACATGAAGTCTTGTTGAAAACGAAGATGGAACAAAATGCAGCTTAGTATTTTGAAGAAAATTGGCTTATGTTTTGCACTTGCAGTTAAAAACAACAACCTTAGGCTTGTGCTTGCCCCTTTCCTCCCTCACCTACCTCTCCTAGGTTAAAACAAAGCTGGAAGCAAATCAGTTGTATATAAAATTATGAATTGCTATGGGAACTATTGAAATGTAGCCCAATTTAATAGCATGTATCAAGTTTACTTGTGTGGAAGAAAAAAAAATCAACCTAACGTATCAGTCTTGTCTGGAAACAAATCCAGGGTTTTAGGCCCCAAACCTAAAGCAGAAGCTTTTACATTCACGGCAGCCTCACTTTGATTGGCTGTAAAGGGGTCTACTCAGATCCTAGTGACATGTATGTAGAGGAGATAAACAACCTTGTGGTTAAATTCTTAACTTATACGGGACTGAAATTTGAGAAGAAGCTTGATAAGTAAGTTACTATTTAATCAGAAAGGCGAATGGCAATAGAAATCTACCAAATGATTTGGCTGCAAAGAATCACGCACAAAAATAGGCCTTGTTGAACATTCTTTTTATTCTCGCCATACATCCAAAGAAGTACTTCCAAGTGTTATCCTCCTTAATCTAAACGTCTGAACGTTTCATTCACAATATCAAATCTTTGTTTTTTCTCAAGTTAGGACCTTTTGTTAATTTCCTTGTGAAGTATTTCTACTTTTATGTTTTAATTTGTGTGAACGGTGCTATGTTATGAGGTGTTTACTTCTGATCTGGCTGCCAGAAAGCTATTGTTAGATGTGACAGAATTTTATAATTTTAAATTTATGGTTGACAGTAAATAATTTGCTCATAAAGTCAGAGCCAGTGTAGATGAACAAAGAATTCTAGATTTCCTGAGTTCTGCAGTTGTTTGTGGTTGTAGATATTTTACAAGACTGAGCCTCAGTTTCTTCCTCTGAGTGGTGTGTAAGTTGAGCTGGACGATTGGTAAGGAAATTTCCAGCTCTGAATTTCCGTGATGTCTAAGATTCGTGATTACTGTTTATTTAGTACTGTAAGGTGTCTTGATTAGTTTTAGTCTTTTACATAAAATTGATGATTAGGTCAGAGAAAAATACACGTTTATATGAAATTAGTTGGAGTTTGGAATATTTCTGACACTGCTGTCTCAGTTGTTTTTATTCTTGGCCTCTTTATTACTTTCTGTTGTGTAATACTAAGGTTCACTTTCTGGGAACATAACTGTTTTATAAACATAAATCATTATTTCTGGAAGAACAGATTTTGTTGTTATCCTTTTATTTTTCCTCTCTTCTATCTTTCCTTTGTCTCTCTCTTACCCCTTGTCAGAAAGTCTTTTTCCCTTTCTACTGCCTCTTCCTCTTGTCTTGTTACTGTAGACTGTGTGTGTGTGTGTGTGTGTGTGTGTGAGTTTTCCGTTGTTACTGTTGATTTTCTGCGTGTTTTGTGAGAGGACCACGCCGATTGTGGTGGGCAACTGTGTCCCAGTAGCAGTAGCAGTAGCAAAGGAGAAGTATCATAGAGAGTAGATAATACTTTAAAATCACAGAATAAGAAGAGTGAATTTTTATTTAACCTATCATTGTGCTGCATTGGTTTTACCTAAGTATCATGAGACACTTTTAACAGTAAAAACTACTATTCATATATTCACGTATTACAGAATTTCAAAAGAATGATTTTAATTATTTTCCAGAGTGACGAGAATTTTCCTTATCTTTGAAATAGAAGTATTTTGCTTTCTTTTGCTCCAAAGGTATTCTGGTTTTTTGTTGTTGTTCTGGTGTTTTTGTGTATGTGTGTGTGATAGGATTTCAACTTTGTTGCCTTGATGGAGTGCAGTGGTGCGATCATGGCTCACTGCAGTCTAGACCTCCTAGGCTCAAGGGATCCCCCTGCCTCCATCTCCCAAGTAGCTGGGACCACAGGCTCCTGTCACTATGCTGGGCTAAGTTGTAATTTTTTTTTTTGTGGAGATGGGGTCTTACTGTGTTGCCTAGGCTAGTGTTGAATGTTTGGGCTCCAGTGATCCTCCCACCTTGGCATCCCAAAGTACTGGAATTACAAGCCTGAGCCACTGTGTCCAGCCTGTATTCTGTTTTTAAGATGTTCTTCTAAATTGAAATTACTGCTTTTGGAAGCAGTATTGTTCCTGAAATGATTTGAAGAGATTAATGTTAGATAATACTAGACATGCAGATAAGGTTGATTGGATTGCAGAGGAACAACAGGGTATGTATAGTATATGTGAAATTTTTTTAAAGGCCTTTTGCTTAGCAGTCACACAACAACTATTGAAAAACCCAGGGATAGCCCCTCTTATTTTTGAAATTGTTGTCAGTATTGAATAAGTACAAATGTGACAAGTTTAGACTTAGTTATAATGATAACGGGAAAATAATTTTAATAAATATGACAATGGACTTAGTTTAAATGTTTCAACAACAGATTGCATTTTTATATTTTTCTAGTTATTACCACTATTTGGATATTTTATAGAGTGCTTTATATATACACACACTAGTGGATCTGGACAAGATCCTGGAATTTTCATTTTAAATTTTAGAGAGTGGTAGAACCTGGAGGTTAGATCTTCCCAGTCATGAGTAAATCAGGATTGAAAATTTTCACTAACTCCAGATTTAGTGTTCTTTTCACAATCCCATAGTATTGCCTCTTTAAGTTCATATGAGACTTAATTATCTCAAGTAGATAAAATCCTGTGATCACATTTAGAACTTTTAAAGAATAGTTGAGATTGAAAATACTTACTCTGGGGGAAAAAGGTAACTGGAACACAGTGCTTCAGAAAAGTCCAGACACCTTGATTTTACTAATTTAGAACAGTTTAGAAGAAATCCAAGGTAAGTCAAAGTTGGGAATTATAGGAAGCAATGAAATAGTCAATTTCAGTGGGTGTGGTGGCTTACGCCTGTAATCCCAGCACTTTGGGAGGCCAAAGTAGAAGGATCGCTTGAGCCCAAGAGTTCTAGACCAGCCTGGGCAACATAGTGGGACCCCGTCTCTACCCCTAAAAATTAACCGGGCTAAGTGGCACACACTTGAAATCCCAGCCACTTAGGAGGCTGAGGGAGGAGGATTGGTTGAGCCCAGGAGGTTGAGGCTTCAGTGAGCTATGATGGCCTGGGTGACAGAGTGAGACCCTATCTTAAAAAAAAAATAAGTAAATAAATAGTGAATTGCATTTTTTTTTTTTTTTTTTGAGACAGAGTCTTGCTCTATCGTCCAGGCTGGAGTGCGGTGGTACAATCTCTACTCATTGCAGCCTCTCCTGGGTTCATGCAGTTCTTCTGCCTCAGCCTCCTGAGTAGCTGAGTAGCTGGGATTACAGGCGCTTAGCACCACGTCCGGCTAATTCTTGTATTTCTAGTAGAGACGGGGTTTCACCATGTTGGCCAGGCTGGTCTTGAACTCCTGACCTCAGATGATCTGCCCGCCTCGGCCTCCCAAAATGCCGGGATTACAGGCATGAGCCACTGCGCCTGGCCTGAATTGTCCTTTTTTTTTTTTTTTAAGATGGAGTCTCGCTCTGCTGTTGTCAGGCTGGAGTACAGTGGCGCCATCTTGGCTCACTGCAACCTCCGCCTCCCGGGTTCAAGCAATTCTTCTGCCTCAGCCTCCTGAATAGCTGAGAATACAGGCATGCGCCACCACGCCTGGCTAATTTTTGTATTTTTAGTAGAGGGGAGGTTTCAACATGTTGGCCAGGATGGTCTCGATCTCTTGACCTCGTGATCTGCCCGCCTCGCCCTCCCAAAGTGCTGGGATTACAGGCGTGAGCCACAGTGCCCAGCCAGAATTTCACTTTTTAATTGAAATGTTATGAACAATAACCAAATAGGTTGAACTTTTTTGTTGTTTTTTGAGACCGAGTCTTGCTCTGTTGCCCAGGCTGGAGTGCAGTGGCGCCATCTCGGCTCACTGCAAGCTCCGCCTCCCGCGTTCACGCCATTTTCCTGCCTCAGCCTTCCAAGTAGCTGGGACTACAGGTGCCCGCCGCGACGCCCGGCTAATTTTTTGTATTTTTAGTAGAGATAGGGTTTCACCGTGTTAGCCAAGGTGGTCTCTTATCTGCTGACCTAGTGATCCACTCGCCTCGGCCTCCCAAAGTGCTGGGATTACAGGAGTGATAGGTTGAACTTTTGTTATACTTACTCTGTCTTTCCCACCTGTACCCCCAGTCATTAGCGCTTGAACACTTCCTAAATATAATTGCTTATCTAATTTCTTGCACTTTTTAAGTTTGAACAGATATTTCAGCATGCTTGCTTACAAGTGCAAATGTCTGTTAAGCATTACGGGGGTGATATAAAAATGTTTCTTTTTTTTTTTTTTTTTTGAGACGGAGTCTTGCTCTGTCGCCCAGGCCCAGGCTGCAGGGCAGTGGCGCGATCTCCGCTCACTGCAAGCTCCGCCTCCTGGGTTCAGACCATTCTCCTGCTTCAGCCTCCCCAGTAGCTGGGACTACATGCGCCTGCCACCACGCCTGGCTAATTTCTTTTGTATTTTTAATAGAGAGGGGGTTTCACCGAGTTAGTCAGGATGGTCTTGATCTCCTGACCTTGTGATCTGCGCGCCTCGTCCTCCCAAAGTGCTGGGATTACAGGCGTGAGCCACCGCGCCCGGCCTAAAAATGTTCCTTAAAATGAAGGAATTGAAGAATTACTTGCCAAGATTTTGGGAAATTAGGTTTAAAAATGCCAGTTGGTAACTGCAAGAATCAAGTAAATCTAATAATCATGCAGAACAGTAGACAATAATAATGTATATTCTTTTTTTTTTTTTTTTTTTTTTTTTTTTTGAGACAGAATCTTGCTCTGTCGCCCAGGCCGAAGTGCAGTGGTGGCACTTTGTCAGCTCACTGCAACCTCCATCTCCTGGATTCAAGTGACTTTCCAGCCTCAGCCTCCCAAGTAGCCGGGATTACAAGCGCCTGCCACCACGCCTGGCTAATTTTTGTATATTTAGTAGCGATGGGGTTTTGCCATGTTGGCCAGGCTGGTCTGGAACTCCTGACCTCAAGTGATCCGCCTGCCTTGGCTTCTCAAAGTGCTGGGATTATAGGCGTGAACCACTGCACCCAGCCTAATGATATATATTCTGCTAGACTAGACAATTTATATGTGTTTTTCACTGTTCATTTCTTCATTTATTTAATGAGCTTTTAGTGAATGTTTACTTTGTGCTAGGTTCTGGACACTCAGAGGTGGAGAAGATACTGTCATTGAATTCAGAGAGCTCAGAGGACATAAAATAGAGTAGTAAGGGAAATATTATAGAGAGTACTGTGGAAAATAGGAGGAGCGTATAACCCAGGCTGACATTGGAAAGAATGAAGGAAGTGTAGGTATCAGGGATAGCTTCTTGGAGGAGTCGAGGCTAGTGGTCAGTCTTAAAAGATGAGTAGGATATAGGAGAAAGGGAGGGGCTAGGTGTTGCAAATGAAGGAAAAGCAAAAACATAGAGAATTACTTTATGTGTCTGGTTTTACAAGCAATTTTGGGTTGGCATTTAGAGTATGTGACAAGGAGCATCTGGGAAAAGATCAATTAGGAGGCTTTTTTTTTTTTCTCTTTTGAGGCAGGGTCTGACTCCATTGTCCAGGCTAGAATGCAGTGGTGCGATCTAGGCTCACTGCAACCTCTGCCTCCTGGGCTCAAGTGATCCTCCCACCTCAGCATCCTGAATAGCTGCAACTACAGGCACGTGCCACCATTCCCAGCTAATTTTTTGTATTTTTTTGTAGAGAAGGGGGTTTTGCCATGTTGCCCAGGCTGGTCTCGAATTCCTGAGCTCAAGCCATCTGCCTGCCTTAGCCTCCCAAAGTGCTAGGATTACAGGCAGGAGCCACTGTACCTGGCCCAGTTAGGAGCCCTATGGAATATTTTGTTGAGTTTAGATCTTATTCTGTAGGAGATGGAGAATCATCAAAGGATTTTAAATGGGAAGTGACTGGCTCATATCTTCATTTTTGTCAGATTACGCAGCTGATTGGAAGATAGATTCAAGAGGTTACAAGAGTGGGAATAGTAAATTCATTTAGAAGACTATTGCAGTAGACCATGTTAGAATTGACCTCAGCTGGGTCAGTGGTAAGGCCAGAGAAAGGCAGATATATTTGTGAGATATTTAAAAGTAATACTGAGAGGATATGAGGAATGATAGTGAGAGAAATCAAAGAAAATGTTTGGGTTTCCAACTCTGTTAGGATGATGTTTGGGTCTTTAGCTGTTAGGCTCTTGCAGTGAACCATGAATAAAATAATGATTGTGAAGGAGACTGTATTACAGTATAGTTGGAGATAAGTAAAAATGGGAATCTCAGCCCTGTGATCTGACTTCATGGAAACCAGAAGAAGCCAAAGAAACAAGCCTTACAGAAAGAACAGGAACAGGTCTTTTGGAGTTAAGGGGACTCTAACTGGTCTTAATAGTCATGACTTAATTCTATTCTATTAAAATGACTCAGCTCCAATCACTAGTTTCTGGTTGTTTTATTTCTTTTTCCCTACTGACTGGCTTATCCTTTCCTTCCTATGTCAAATTCCTGAGAGACTTAACAGATTGGCCTGGCTAATTGCTATGATTCTTAGTTGGGCAGAGCTTTTCAATACAGACTATGTTGTGAATTGGTGGCCTTCAAGTCAGGTGCTAACCTGTGTTGAATCAGCTGTAGGAATGGTGGTAATTATAAAATACAAAATACCCTGCTGGTACAAGGATAGTCTGGGTCTCACTTCTTTCGGTAGGGGCAATGTGTGAGGCAGTTTCTCCTAGGAAGGGTTGGCAGTTAACCATAATTGATCTGAAGCTTGGGAGAGAGGTCTAGGTCGTGACTGATTTAGGAGTCACTTGTAGGTGGTAGTTGAAACTCAGAGTATTTGAAAGAGAGAGGGAGAATAGAGTGAGAAAAAGCAGTGGGCCAAAGATGGGGACCCTGAAGAACACCAACATTGAAAGACTAGAGGGAGCACAAAAGAAATGGTAGGTCCCCAGACATCAAGGAGATTGGTGTCACAGAAGCTGAGCACGGGAGGGTGCAGTGGCTCACACCTGTAATCCCAAAACTTGGGGAAGTCGAGGTGGGAGGACTGCTTGAACCCAGGAAGTTGAGGCTGTAGCCAGCGGTGATCATGCCACTGCATTTTAGCCTGGGCAACAGAATGAGACACTGTCTCAAACAGCCTCCCCACCTTCCCTAGAAATGAGGAAGTGATATTTAGTGTCTGTTGCAACAGATAGGTTTAGTAGGATAGGCACAGATAGTTTTCCACTACGTTTGGAAATTAGATCATTGTGACTTTAGGGAGAGCAGTTTGAATTGAGTGATGGGGCAAAAACCAGATTTCAGTGGGTTGAAAGAGTAAATGAAAGGACCAAGTAGAGAGGATAGTGAATAGAGATTATCCTTGAGAAATATAGATGAAGGAAGAGATGAGGCATTTCCTAGAGGAGGATGGAGGTTAAGGTAGGATTTTTTTTTTCTTCTAATTTTTAACGGCTGATAGTGGAGTTACGTTTTACCTGGTGTTTAGCTTCTAATGTCAGCATAGAAGATGAAAATCCTACATAACCAAAATTATCCTTAAAAATTCCTTTGGAAAGTATTGTGTTAGAGACCACTGTGTCATTTCTTAGTCAATCTTGTTTTAATTTGGTTGTATAGGTAAAACTGAAGCGACATAAATTAAATGAAAATACTATATTATATTAGTCCAAGGTATGGTGTTCCAGGAAATGTATACAAAATTTAACATTTTAACAAATAAAATTGATTAGCCTACCTGGTTATTATTACTATTTTTTCTTGAACAGAGTCTCGCTTTGTCAGGCCGGATCCCAGGTTTAAGCAATTCTCCTCCCTCAGCCTCCCGAATAGCTGAGATTACACACACCCGCCACCATGCCTGGCTAAGTTTTATGTTTTTAGTAGAGATGGGATTTCACCATGTTGGCCAGGCTGGTCTCGAACTCCTGACCTCAAGTGATCCACCCACCTTGGCCTCCCAAAGTGCTGGGATTACAGGCATGAGCCACTGCGCCCAGCCTTGTTATTACTTTTAAGGTAAAAAATTATATACCACCAACTCTGGTACATTACTGACAATGATTTATATGTAGCACGGAGGCATAGAATTTGTGAAAAGTGTACATTTTGGGGACATTGTCCCTTTACAGATTGAGGGGAAGGAGAGATTAGAGAGGAAGATAATGAAATACAAGCTTGAGAGGCTGACAGAGAGGCTTCTAGAGAGGAAACTGGTTCCAGAGTCCAGAATGGTTGGTCTTGGAGAGGAGAGTACAGACTGTTCTTTGATAATAGTGGAAGAGGTGAAGACTGCCGTGGACATAGATCACTTTGTAATAAAAGAGTGGAGAGTTGAATATGACCATAGCTAATGGCCTCTCGTTTTTTGTTTTTTTGGTTTTTTTTTTTTGAGATGGAGCCTTGCTCTTGTCGCCCAGGCTGGAGTGCAGTGGTACAACGTCGGGTCACTGCAATCTCTGCCTCCAGGGTTCAAGCCATTCTTCCGCCTCAGCCTCCCAAGTAGCTGGGAATACAGTTGCGCACCACCATGCCTGGCCACTTTTTGTATTTTTAGTGGAGATGGGGTTTTATGTTGGCCAGGCTGGTCTCGAACTCCAGACCTCAGGCAATCCGCCTGCCTTGGCCTCCCAAAGTGCTGGGATTACAGGTGTGAGCCACCGCACCCAGCTGGCCTCCTGTTTTCTTGATAAGAGGTGAGGTACTTTGCTCATGAATTTGAGTAGAGGATGTAAAGTTTAAAGTAAATGATGAAAATGTGGACTAAGCCATTGAGAGGGATAGGGAATAAGCTGACAACATTTCTAAAAATATTGTTGGTAGCATTGAGAGTGCTCAGTTGACATCATTAGTTCATAGCAGTGGCTGTTCATAAGATTTTGGACTTTATTCATTGGAAGTCAACTGTCCAGTGTGGGAGTATGGAAGGTAGATTATGATACTGAGAGTGTCATTTTGCTGGTTGGATATGATAGAATGATGGGCATATGAGGGAAATCAAGGATATTTGAGAGCTTTAAGTGATTACCATGTAGCCTGTCCTGGAAGAGGAAAAAGGGAGAAAAAACACAAAGAGTTTGAGGAATTAGAGTTCCCATGATGTTGAAGTATAGACGTGAAGGCTTTAGAAAGGGGATAGAACAGGATGGTGTGTTCTGGAGGAAGATACCGGTGTTTCTGCAATAATGTCCTGAATGCGTGGCTGGAAAACCATGTTTTCCACAAAATCAATGCGCTAAAAGTAACAGGACTTATGCAAACTATAAAGCTGGAGCAACCCCTTAAAACCTTGGGAACTTTGTAGGCATTAATCAGAACACTACAAAAATTACAGTCCTAGTAAAATAAAAGCCCAGTTAAATTTTCACTGTGCCCGATATTACAGGTGGCTTGGTCTGTTGCAGCTTTAGACTCTGGGTCTTGAGCTTTTGCTTCTTCAAGAAGGAATGATTGAAGTTAGAGTGGAAGTTAGCGGGAATAAAGAGGTTCAGGAATTAAAACGCAGGGAAAAAATAATTAAACGTGAGTGTTAAGTGTGTAAATGTGCAGGAGAGATACATGTTGCTATGAGGGCTTGTAAAAAGGAGCTTCAACCAAGTTGGAGAGATTAGAGAAAGAATATTTGAGGAAGTAAAGCTTGAGCTAAGATTTAAAGTGTGAGTAGGACCTACCTACTCAGGCTAAGAAGGAAAGGTGGAGGGAATAGCATGTTTACAGACTGGCCTGATCAATGTGAAGAATTGAAATAGTGCTGATGCGGCTGGAGCAGAAAGGAGGTGGAAAGTGCAGGTGGAGAGCAAGACCAGACAAGGTGCTCAGGAAGCGTGTCTTTTTCCTAGGCCAAAGAGGAGGCTTTGGAAGGAATCTTAGTTGTATTGAGGGCTACTGATAGAAGGACGGCTGATTTATATTTCCAGAAAGGCACTGGCTGGCTGCATGTTGGCGACTGGAAGGGAGTGGGAATAGGGTAGAATGGTTTATTCAAACTCTTTCCATCAGATTGTTTGAATAAAAAGAGCTAAACTTGCTAGCCTTAGAATTAGGAAGTATTACATATGTTTTCTTCTAAAGCCACATAGAAAACACTTAATACTGAAGACTTTGTAGTTTTAAAAGTTTAAACTTTGGTAGTATGAGGTTGTTTTTTGGTTACCACAGAATTTGAGGTAATAATAAACTTTCAGGTGATGAGCATTGTTAGAAATAGGCCCTTTGCTGCTGATATTACAAGTTTGAGCATCCCAAATCTGAAATTCAAAATGCTTTCAGAATTCAAAACTTGATTTTTTATTTTTTTATTTTTGGGACAGAGTCTCACTCTATTGCTCAGGCTGGAGTGTAGTGGCGCTGTCAGGCCCTTGCAACTTCTGCCTCCCAAGTTCAAGCGATTCTTGTGCCTCAGCCTCCTGAGTAGCTGGGATTACAGGCGCACACTACCATGCCAGGCTAATTTTTGTATTTTTAGTACAGACAGGGTTTCACCATGTTGGCCAAGCTGGTCTTGAACTCCTGACCTCAAGTGATCGCCCGCCTCAGCCTCCCAAAGTGCTGGAATTACAGGCATGAGCCACCACGCCCGGCTCAAAGGAAATGCCCAATGAAACATTTTAGATTTTGGATTTTTGGATTTAGGATGCTCAACTGGTAAGTATGCACAAATATTGTAAAATCTGAAAAAAATCTAAAACACTTCTGGTCCCAAGCATGTCAGATAAGGGATACTCAACTTGGACTGGTCTCATTTAAGAAATAATATGAAACCTTATAATCTTGCATTTAAACTTTTCCTTATACCTTTTACATCTAATTTAAATTTTAATTTAAACATGAAACAAATCTTTTTAGTTTTAATATTTACAGAATTTATCTGCAATTAGTGAATCCTAACAAATATAATGGATCCTTGAAGATTTATAACTGGTACTTTATAGTAATTTTTGCATAATGGAAAAATGTATGGGATTTTAATTCATGCATGGATCTAATATATGTTTCTACCAATTTGGGGCTGGGTATATAATGTGTAAACATTTTATTTTTTTTTCTGTAGGCCCATGACAGATTACAGATTTCTTCATTTCAAAAAGTGAGGTTAAATAATACCTATTTCGTAAATGTTGAAAGAGAAAAATCCATACAAAAGCACCCAACTCTTTGAGAGACTGTTTACTTTCAAATATTGGTTTCTTTCTCTTTTCCCGTAGAAGTAGTCAGAATAGGACATGGGGATATGTGAAGTGATCCCCGAATGTTCATTGTAACTAAATCCTTCATGTGGGTTCAGAGCTCACACTAGATCAGGTTTCTTGAATTTAAATCCCAGCACAAATCCTGGTTTGGAATTCGCTTTTAGCAGTATGACTTTGGGCGAGTTTCATTATCTTCCCTTGGATTCCTCAACTGTGAAATGATAATAGATAGTACCTACCTCATGGGGTTGTTTTGGATATTAAATGAGTTAATAAACTTAATGCTCTTAGAGCAGTGCCTTTCACACGGTATTAAATATATGTAACTATTATTTGTTATTAAGAATACTTTGGGATTACTTTATCACTAAAAGTTTGGGTCACTCCCCTTAAAAAATCAGTGGATTTAGAACTGCAGTTAGATTTTGTTTAGATAGTTTTCTATAGATTTATTTGTAACAATCTAATTTTTAAATATGTAGTTTCCATGGCCTTTTCTCAGGTAACTTAATTATTTGAACATATTTTGACTGAAAAATGTGTTTTACTGCCACCATAATTAAATTTTATTAAAAAGTGACTAGTGCACAGACTTGTGCAATTGTTTCTTTTCTGCTGCTTAGCTCAGTGTAAATCTATTACCTGCATCATATGTTGAAGTAGTTTTGATGCATGTAAATACTGTTGCTTCCATTTTTGTCTTGCCTAGCCAAGCTTGTTGACTCCTTATGGTCACCAGGCTAAAAGAACTTCTGCCCATAACCCAAGTTTTCATGGTAATGGAAGGAGTGGCAGAATTCATTCCATTTTTTTGTGGGGGGAGTGGGGGGTGTGAACATGTACTAATTTGCATTGCAAGTGTAAACTTAAGTGTTTAATAGTAATAAGGCATGTGTTGGAAATTTGATAAATTTGGTCAAGTGTGTGGTAAGGGAGGATATGATCTCATTCATGTGTGATGATTGTATATCTTAAGATACAATTTTTGACTTACAAGAAGGTATTTAGTTTTAAAACAATCATAAATTTAAGGAGAATTCTGCTACCCATGAAGATAATTTTATAGTATGACTGAAAGATTAATGCGAAGTTTGTATTGCGTGGAGCATATTTAACTAGAACACCCCAATAATGATTTAGAGTATTGTTTCTCATGCAGTCCTTTTGGGGATATGGAGACTTGTCTCACTCATACTCTATGAGTACTTTCTGACATGCTACTTCAACTTCTTTCTTTATTCTTCCATGGTTTTGTGGACATATTTTCTCTTAATATTGTCTACATGCTAGCTTTCAAGGTAATTTGTGTCTTGGGCGAGAGGTAGGGGAAGTGATTGTGAGTTTAGCAAACCCTGTGGGATTAGAATTGAGGAATAGCTGGTTTAAAAAGTTTGAAAGCCATTATCTAAAAGATTTTCTAAAGTGTCAGCAGTGGCATGGTGTTACTTCTGTTGTTTAAAAAGAAAAAAATACGTTTAGAAATTAGATGTATTTCTCAATAAGCTATTATTGGCCCAAGAGATTTTATGAATCAGCTTTAATTAATAAGACTATACCAAAGAACAAAACTGTAAATTCTTAAGAAAGCTGTTTTGCCAATTCAATCTAATTGTGTAAGATTTCACTTAGAAATATACAATACAGATGCTTCTGGTTTAAAGAGCCAGGACTTTGGCAAGAGTGTACAGAAATTATATAAGTTATATGCAAATTTAGACCTGATAAAATTGAGATCTTTCTCTCATGTTCTTCATACAGCCTTTTTCCTCTTAAAAATATAGTGTACTCTATAATGTCTTTTATTTAATTTGCATAAAAGGCTGCTAGGTTCAATTTCCATATTTGGATTCTGCAATCTTAATAAAACTAGTAATAGTGTGAAGAGTTCTGTGGTTAACTTGGGCTATTTTGCATATTGGGTTCATGGTGATGATAAACGTTTTATTGAGTATTTGAACTGATAGGAGCAGAAATAATACATCATTCCAAAAACCTATATGTTCCTGAATTGTTTAAGGTTTTCATCTTTCAGTGAATATCTCATGTGACTTCTTTTTTCCTTCCTGTTTCTATGCAGGTCATGGCAAAACCCCAAAAGATGCCGCGTCAGTTCGAGCCACGCATCCAATACCAGCAGCCTGTGGGATTTATTATTTTGAAGTAAAAATTGTCAGTAAGGGAAGAGATGGGTAAGTAAATTTTGGTGAGAAAAATCGTTTGCTAGTTTTTTTGTTTTGGTTCATAATGTTTATGATGTAATTGGAAAGTTGGAATCCTGGAAATTTTGCTAATTGGAAAAGTGGAATCTGAATATTTCAGTATAACAGATTGGATCTGGTTATGCTTAAATACTAGCTGAAGTTAAAGCTTGAGTTGGTGATATTAACTAAGCTTTTCTGGTAGGTTTATTATTAAAATGGAGAATTTGGAATTAAGGAATGAAGGGATGGTGACTCATTTTCCATGACTTTTCTTACACTGCTTTTTCGTGAATTCTGCTAAGAAGTTAAATCCTCTCAAACTAGTAATCATAGTCAGTTGGTGATTCATAGGTATTTTACAGATGTTGGACTTAGAATTTTAGGTTTCAGCTGGGAAATGTGTATTTGT